>NC_000011.10:56343255-56646286 GCF_000001405.40 Homo sapiens
AAATGTCCATAAGGCTTTTCAAAGAATGACCTAAGAATTTTAAGCTGAACAATTCATAGGTATCACACTGAGAAGGAAGACATTCTAGTTACAAAAAAGCTGGAACGTATCATCCTTGATCAACAACTGGGCACCCACTAGAGATTTCAGAGGCAAATGTTACTCCAAATGCTTCTGAGGGCTTAAATCTTTGTTTAAAACATTTAATATTCTTTCAAAAAACAATGCAAAAATATACAGCACTGATTAACACAAAATTCACAATATTCAGCATCCAATCACAAATACTAGGCATTTGAGAAAGCAGGAATATGTGGCCCTATCTTGGAGATAATTCAAGTAGATATTGAAAAGGTATAATGATAGAATTAGCAAGCAAGGGCTTTAAGACAACTGTTATAAATATGTTTAGTAAACTAAATGATTTAACAAAAACATTAACATAGTGAGAAAAAAATGAAGATTTATGAAACAACAGATATGGGGCTTCTAGACATAAATATACAGTATTGGATATAAAAAATATATATTGAGTGAGAACAATGGCAGATTATGAACTGAACAAAAGATGACTTAAACAGTCAACAATGAAGACTACTGAAAATAAAGCCAGAGTAAAAATATACTGAACGAAAACCATGAAAATAGTCTTAGTGATTTGTAGAACAATAACAAGTTATTTAAGTCATGTTTAATTTTAAGTCTAAGTGTAAAGAAGAGATTATATAGTGCAGAAAATACACAGTAAAAAATATTGGCCAGAATTTTCTTCTAAATGTATTTAAAAAAAACCAAAATCCTAGACATACAAAAAGCTAAAATAATTCCAAGTAGGGTAAATTGAAAGGAAATTATGCTAAAATGCATTATAGTCAAATTTCTGAAAACCAATAACAAAGAAAAATTCTTAAAAACAGCCAGAGATAAATGATACATCATAAACAAATGAAGAAATTATTTGCCACTGATTTCTTGACATAAACAATACAATTAATAAAATATTATCTTCTCTCAGCTTAATATAGTTTATAAGAAATTGTTTTATGTCAGTTTATAATCATATATTCAACAAAATATATGTGGTCAATGGATGTATTATCAAATATTATATAACTTTTTTCAAGAAAGTCATTATTTCACTTACTTGTGACTTGTTGGGGATTATATATGTAATATTTGCATGCAATGCTGAAAATGGCATTTGTGATTTCCAGTCTTTAGTGATATTGCATAATTTATTTTTTCAGTTAGACAAAGGCATAAGTATTTACGACTTTTTCTTAATGGAACATTCGGAGAATAATCAACAGATATTCAAGGCACTTTCCCTCAGGTAATTACGTAGAATTTGTTTAACCTTGGGTCAGATTAACATTTCAACACAATGAGTCTCAAGGGAGGAGAAAAAATTTAAATCCATTCGGTAGCCACCTATGAGGCCTAAAGCAGTAGAAAGCAAAGCAAATTCTCCATTGAGGTAAGCGGAAACATTGGTCTTAGAAAATTTCTAAGGGTACATCCTTAAAGCAGGTTGTCACCAAAAATCTGGAAGGGTCCCATTCTCTGCAAAACTGTTGCCTCCCTTGCAATATACTGTTCTGTCATCAATAGGACAGATGTGCAGACAGACCTGTTATACAGTCTCCAATACTCGAGGCTGGTCATTATTTATGCCACCTTAGCTTTCAAATTACTTCATGCTTCAGTCATCTATTTTAACAAAGATCTTTATCATTATTTACCTTGTGTCTTTCCTGTCTCATTCTCACTTCCTAACAATGAAGGGTATCCCTAATGGAGAAGTGGTGTGTTAGAGTGTTTATGAGAACATATTCTGAAGGCAGAATGGCTTTACTTGAATCCTTACACTACAACTTATAATGTGAAAGATCTTTGTTAAATTATCCAACTCTTTGTGCCTCAGTTTCTTTTTCTTTTAAATGGGGATGATATTACTGCCTACTTCCTAAAGTTATTGTGTAGATCATATGAGTTAATATGTGTAAAGCACTTGCAAAATTGCCTAGCATGCTATGGATTTGCTTAGGTTCTTGATATTCATTTGTGTTTCTCTATCCACTGAGCCCTTTTTTATGATTCTCTCTTAAATGTTCATGAATTGTAAGAACAGCCAGATTTTTTTTTTCCTGCAGAAGGATGTATAATTGGGGGATTATACATCCCCCCAATTGCTCACTAGAAGCAGCAATTCAATAGGCAAAAAGTTCAAATGCAGATTAAGATATTATTAACAAAATTCTCAAATTATGGCATAAAATTTTGTTTTTGGTAAACAAGTTGAATTTATAGACAGAAGTATTGACATGTATATAATGATCAGAGATTTCCTACTGCCCTATTCATTACTCCATCTATAGTTTTGAAAATCTTGTCTTGCTTCTTTCAATGATCAGCAAAAATGTAAAGTTTAATGTATAGATGTTTGTTTTACAAATTACCTGAAAATTGTGGTAAGCAGAAACAAAAGTGGTAGCTATTTTTACATAATTAAAATGACTCTGGGTCCAAAAAGTAGGTCATAGTAGCTACATCAAAACAACAACTTCAAAATATCTTGCCCCTTTTAATTATACTTTACCACAGTTTTAATGAATGTGACTGTAGCTTTGTGTGGTTTTGACCTGATGGGAAGAGGAGACTCTATTTAGAATTTGAAATAAAGGAAATACCTCTATTGCTCATACATCAAATTGTTAATTTTCTTAGAAGATAATGTTTCAAATATAATAAATATTGATTTTCTAGTTTGCACAGTTACCAAGATGAATCATGTGGTAAAACACAATCACACGGCAGTGACCAAGGTGACTGAATTTATTCTCATGGGGATTACAGACAACCCTGGGCTGCAGGCTCCACTGTTTGGACTCTTCCTCATCATATATCTGGTCACAGTGATAGGCAATCTGGGCATGGTTATCTTGACCTACTTGGACTCCAAGCTACACACCCCCATGTACTTTTTCCTTAGACATTTGTCAATCACTGATCTTGGTTACTCCACTGTCATTGCCCCGAAGATGTTAGTAAACTTCATAGTGCACAAAAACACAATTTCTTACAATTGGTATGCCACTCAGCTAGCATTCTTTGAGATTTTCATCATCTCTGAGCTCTTTATTCTATCAGCAATGGCCTATGATCGCTACGTAGCCATCTGTAAACCTCTTCTGTACGTGATCATCATGGCAGAGAAAGTACTTTGGGTGCTGGTAATTGTTCCCTATCTCTATAGCACGTTTGTGTCACTATTTCTCACAATTAAGTTATTTAAACTGTCCTTCTGTGGCTCAAACATAATCAGCTATTTTTACTGTGACTGTATCCCTCTGATGTCCATACTCTGTTCTGACACAAATGAATTAGAATTAATAATTTTGATCTTCTCAGGCTGTAATTTGCTCTTCTCCCTCTCAATTGTTCTCATATCCTACATGTTTATTCTAGTGGCCATTCTCAGAATGAACTCAAGGAAAGGGAGGTACAAAGCCTTCTCCACCTGTAGCTCTCATCTGACAGTGGTGATCATGTTCTATGGGACATTGTTATTTATTTACTTGCAACCCAAGTCCAGTCATACTTTGGCTATTGATAAAATGGCCTCAGTGTTTTATACCCTGTTGATTCCTATGCTGAATCCGTTGATCTACAGCCTAAGGAACAAAGAAGTAAAAGATGCTCTAAAGAGAACTTTAACCAATCGATTCAAAATTCCCATTTAATATCTTAATACTCAGTTGCATAGTTGGGTACAATAATCTGTTTAGTACTCTGTCAAACCAATTATAACATAAAAAAAGTAGAAATACTCTATCTGCTTAGATTTTCCTCTTTTTCTGGACAAAACATGTCCTCTTAGAGCAACCTGTACTCTTTGCCACCTCAATGGAATAAATAAATACTATATTCAGGTAATATATGTCCTAAGCAATTTTCGAAATCATACTGGAACCGCTACTATTTATAAATAAGGCAAATTATGTCAAACTTAGAGTTGCAGAGTTAAAATGAAAAGCTTATATAGTTCAAACAGAGTAAAAATAACCGGAAAATTAGTAATAGATATTTCCCAGCAGGCACTAGGTATTAAATGTAAATAAGATTGAACCATAGAGAACATGTAGGCTAGATAGGAAGCAAGAAAGTAAGTAAATATGTGATTATAACATAACATGAAAAGGCTGTTTATTTAGCCTGACCAACTTGGTGAAACCCCGTCTCTACTGAAAATACAAAAATTAGCCAGGCACAGTAGCATTCACCTATAGTCCCAGCTATTCGGGAGACTGAGACAGGAGAATTGCTTGAACCCGGGAGGCGGAGGTTGCAGTGAGCTGAGATCACGCCACTGCACTCTCCAGCCTGGGCGACAGAGCCTGACTCCATCTCAAAAAAAAAAAAAAAAGAAAAGAAAGAAAAGAAAAGGCTGTGTAAACATTAAAGCTAAGAACACAATAAAGTATGCTATCTCAGAATGAGGTTTTTCAATCAGATGAAGTTAGTATTGTATATCTTAGGGATAAAGTAGGTTTTTGATTAGGAATGATGAGAAAAATATTGGATTATTCTAGATCCTCCTTGACAGATTCTAGCACTATTGCAAACACTGGTTTATGAGAACTTCCTGATAAGCTGATTTAGAATTGGCAACCTGAAGATAAATAAGTTATCTCGTCATCTACTGTAATGGTAGCAATATAGAATTTTGAAAAATGTATGGAGATAATAACACAGATTAAAAAAACTTACACACTCGAGGGTTAGTTTCATCTTCATTCCTGTCTTCTTTGTCTCCTTCATGAGCCTGTCTACACAGTGGCATGGAATGTATTCTACCATAATGCTGCATCTACATTGTGTACTCTCACTCAGCAAATAAATTCCTTACATCTTGGTATTCTTCCATTGTTTCGACGGGCCTCTATTTTTTTCGATTTTAAAAATATATACACTTTTCTAATTGTGTCTGTTCCAATTTAATCTAGTGTTCAAAGTAAAAATTGTGAGGAATTGAATCAGAAAATGAACCAAAGTGTCTTTATCCAGATCCATTTCTTTCATTTTTTCCTCTTCTTTCACTTATGATGTATTTTACTTCATCTAAACATAAACTGAACATAATAACAGTAATACAAAATTGCATTACCCAATCATATCAAATTTGTTTACTTCTGATTTTGATAACATCTGATCCTGCTCATAACCATATTGATTTTTAGGAATCAATTTTACATTTCCACTGTAACATTTTTATTTTTTGAGACTAAGTCTCGCTCTGTAGAGCAGGCTGGAGTGCAGTGGTGCGATCTCAGCTCACTGCAACCTCCGCCTCCCGGGTTCAAGCTATTCTCCTGCCTCATCCTCCCGAGTAGCTGGGACTACAGGTGCACACTGCCACGCCCAGCTAATTTTTTGTATTTTAGTAGAGACCAAGTTTCACCGTGTTGCCCAGGCTGGTTGTGAACTCCTTAGCTCAGGCAATCCACCCACCTTGGCCTCCCAAAGTGTTGAGATTACAGGTGTGAACAACTGTGCCCGGCCTCATAGTAGAATTTTATATTATAATGCACAAATATAACTCTTTGGTTTTGTATATTTTCCCTTCCCAAATTCTACAATTTCTATCCCTTTCTATAATCCACAACTAAAATTAAATAATATTAATAGCATTCTGTAATACCATCCACACAAGAAGGGCTTTTAAAAAATCATGCTATATTATGTTCCCTGCAATTTTTTTTTTACTTTAGAATTCATCAGCAGAATTTTTCTTGACCAATAAAAATTCTTTTTAAAAAATTTTTAATATCAGCATACAACTCTGGAAAATAGACAAATCACGTTGTACTTAGCCATTCCTTGATTGATGAACTTTGGTTGTTGACAGTTTAAGTTATTTAAACTGCCACCTAAAACATATGCTGTAATAAATATTTTATGATTATAAAATAAAGTACTGGTAATTTCTATTTCTCAAATAAATGTATATGGTTATTCCACATTCTAATAATGTGTTGTTGGGTAAATATTTTGCATACATAAATTATAATTTTAAAATATTTTAATGAGAATAAATGCCATGCAATGTTATTTTTTTCTAAGTGGTGTTTCCTCTTTTGTTCATTTTTTTAATGAAATACTAACGTTTTAAGAATGAAGTACTAACATTTTTATGAATACTAACATTTACTAATATAATTGTGTGATTAAAAAATGCAGAATGACAATAATAGGTGTCTAAAATCAGCTATTTGATGTCATAGATAAAATATAGATGGTTTTCAAACATTACATTCTTTTCTACAAAAAGTTTATAATATTCCAGACTTAGTTGGACACCGTTGTTTTCCCTAATAACCACAAAACACACATTCTGCTTACAATTATAATCATGAGTAGTTGAAAAATAATGCTGCCAACCTATATAAAATTCCTTTAGTATTTATACATTCTCAAACTTCTTCCCAGAGTTAAAACCTTGAGCTTTATTTGATTTATTATCATTCCATGTCTAATTAATGACTTGGTACACCAAAAGCTTTTACCAAGGATATTTTAATATATCTGTACTTACTAATGTTTACATGACAAGAGTTGAAAGGTCCTAATGACTGGATTGTATCTCAGGATACATACAATTATTATTTTTTTAATATATGTACACAGTTTTATATATAATGCAGCATCAAATATGGGGCATTTTCTCCTATTTTACACACTCAGATATGTTTAAAACACTTCTTAAGGCTACAAAACAGAACATAGAAAAACAAATAAGAATATCTTCAACACTTACAAAAAGTGATATGATAAAGAATATAAAGTACTAGTTTTCTTTCAACACTTCAAACATACGTATATATACTTTTTTTACAAATAACATCACAAATGATCACATATTCACATGCTTTTAAATATTATTTATACTCAATTTGAGGCTATTATCATTTTTGATACATAAAATTTTTGTAGCTCTGAAACAATGCAAAATTTTTAATCCATTTCAGTAAGTAAGTAATTTTAATAACTACCACCAAAGGTGACTGTTTTAAGAGTGGACAGGTGTAGACCTACCCTCATGGCATAAAAGTAAGGTTCCCCATATCCGGCTTTAGATCTGCTTCTATATGACACAGAAAAAATTCAGGATAGCCAAAATAATCTTGAGAAACAACAAAGTTAGAGCACTCACAATAGCTACTCCATGGCCTCCTATAAACCTCCAGTACTGGAGATAATGCAGCACTTTATAAACATAGATAAATAGATTCATGGTACAGAATAGAGCCCAAAACACATGTACATATGGATGTTTGATTGATTATCTACGAAAAAGCCCACTTAATTTATATGGGACCTTAGACACATATAAATATCACCTACAAGGCTGTAACTAAAAGGCAATCAAACAAAAATAGGATAAAATATATTTCATATAGTAAGTATTAATGGTCAATATGCACATGATAAAGAAGCCCAACATCCTCAGCTATCGAGGAAATGGAATTACAGTAACAATGGGATACTATTTTCCATTAACTAGTTTGAGTAAAATTTAAAATATTTCATTACTAAGGAGTGAGTGTCAACTTGATCAAGAGTATTAGCTCCTGAAATTATCTTACTTGCTGATTACCATGTACAATGGTTCTTCACTTTGGAGAACAGTGTGGTGGTTTATAAATAAGGTTAAATGCATTACTACCACATGTTTCCAGAGTTCACCTTCTGGATGTTTATCAAAGGGGAATGAAAACATGTCTAAAAAATGTGTACATTCGTGTTATTGATAGCTCTATTCAAAATAGTATAAAATGGAAATATTTCAACTGTTTGTAAACAAAAATGTACATTGTGCTATATTCCTAAAATAGAATACTACTCAGCAATAAAACGGAATGAGCTATTGCTATATACAGGAGCACAGATGAATTTCAATAGCATTAACCAGACACAACCTACAATATTATTCCTTTAACATGAAGTTCTAGAACAGGTAAACTAATATATGGTGATAAAAACCATAGCAATTTCGAGCATGTGAATTCCAATGAACTAAGGTTTTGCTACCAATGTCAGCCATTTACTCTCCCACTAATTGGGATTACTTTTTAAAAGAGGTCTTTTGCCCTGACATACAAGCTTTAGAAAATCTTAGAAGAGGGGTGGTTGCATGTCTTAATGCTGGGAAGCAGCAACTTTGGGTGGAACTTACTGAAATGGATTAAAAATTTTGCATTGTTTCAGAGCTACAAAAATTTTATGTATCAAAAATAATAATAGCCTCAAAATGAGTATAAATAATATGTAAATCATGTGAATATGTGATCATTTGTGATGTTATTTGTAAAAAAATAGTATATATACATAGTTTGAAGTGTTGAAAGAAAACTAGTACTTTATATTCTTTATCATATCACTTTTTGTAAGTGTTGAATGTATTCTTATTTGTTTTTCTATGTTCTGTTTTGTAGCCTTAAGAAGTGTTTTAAACATATCTGAGTGTGTAAAATAGGAGAAAATGCCCCATATTTGATGCTGCGTTGTATATAAAACTGTGTACATATATTAAAAAAATAATAACAATTGTATCCTGAGATATAATATGGAGGAATTTACTGCAAAGAGACATTGGGGAACATTTCGGGATTATTAAAATACATTATTTAAATGTTAACTCTATATAGTTGGCATTTTATTGTATGTAAATTATTGAACTTTTAACATAAACCAATATAATATGGCCCTTTTATTTATTTTTCTAAGTTTATTGAGTTATAATAGGCACAACAAATTGTATATATGTAAGGTGTACAACATGACAATTTTTTATTTTGTTTTATTTATTTATTTATTTATTTATTTATTTATTTATTTATTTATTTATTGTAGACATGGGCGTCTTGCTATGTTGACCAGGCTAGTCTTGAACTCCTGGGCTCAAGCCATCCTCCTGCCTCAGGCTCCCAAAGTGCTGAGATTACAGGCGTGAGCCACTGCACTTGGCATCGTGATGTTTTCATAAACATATATATTATGAAATTATTACCAAGATGAAGCTAATTTACATATCTATTATCTCATGTAGTTAAGTTTTGTGTGTGTGGTAAGAACATTTAAGACCTACTGTGTCAGCAATTTTCAAGTACACAATACAGTCTTGTTAACTACAATCACCATGCTGGACATTAGATCTCCAGAACTTATTTATCCTCCATAATTTACATTTTACACTTAACTTACATAATTTACATTACACACTTACATTTAACATACTACATTACATAACTTACACTTTATACTCTTTGATCAACATCTCCAAGTGGCTGCTACTCCTCATCCCCAGCAACCACTTCTACTGTCTGCTTCTATGAGTTTGATTGTTTTAGATTCCACATAAAAGTGTGACCATAAAGTAAAACATTACCCTTTTAATACTATCTTTAGTATTAAGCCTCTCAGAAGCTTTCCTCAAATTTCTATATAATTTACATAAATAAAATTTGTAAAGAATATATGATTATATACTAAACATATCCCAGAGTTTACTTAACAAATTTCTAAACTGTGTAGTTTTCAGTATTTTATCTCACTGAAAAAATAATCTTATGAAGACTTTATTTATATATTTAAGTAACTCATATTACTTCTGTAGAACAGATTTCCAGAAGCGGGTTTTCCTCCCAATGAAGATTCCATCTTTTCAGCTGTTTTGGGCCTAACATAAGAGGTTTAGAATAATTATGTTCCTCTGTTCATGACAAATTTTCATTATTCAGCCAGCAAAACCTCTTTCTTATTCATGTTTTATTCTTTCTTGTTATGGACTGGATGGTCTATCTCAAAATTCATACGTTAAAGCCTTAATCACTAGTGCCTCAGAATGTGACTGTATTTGGACACAGAGCCTTTAAAAAGGCAATTAATTTAATTAGGGTCATTTAGCTGGGTCCTAATTCAATACAACTGGCATCCTGATAAGAAGAGAGATTAGGACAGAGAGAAGGAGATATACCAGGCACATAAACAGACTGAGGGACAACTATGTGAGGACACAGTGAAAAGGTGGCCCTCTGCAAGCCCAGGTGAGGGCCCCAGAAAAAACCAAACCTGCTGAGACCTTGAGCTTGAACTTCTATCCTTCAGTACTGTGAGAAAACAAATTTCCACTGTTTAAGCCACTCAGTCTGTGGTATTTTGTTATGATAGTCTTCAGTGTACCTTTCATCTTAATTTCTTTACCCAGTCCCAACCACCACCATCGGGAAACTGCCACAAAATAACTCAATGTAAATCTGTTTGTTTTCTTGTGCTCTTACAAAGCATACAATAGTTTTCTATGTCATGGATTTATACTGTACATAAATGTCATCATGCTGTATAACTCCATTTTCTGCTTTAATTTAAGGCCTGTAGAAGCAGATCTTTGGATCTACAAAGGGGACTTAATTCCTAAATATGATAATTTCCCCAAGGCATATTCCTTTCTAAACAATTCCATTAGTCATTACATGGATAAAAATGCATACATGCTAAATGTTTAGTGTTTCAAAAAATGCCTTTGTTCATCAGGGAATTTATGTTTTATACTTTGAAATAAGAGTTAAAGGGAGACAACACAGATAGTGACATAATAAATATATTATTTATAGATAACAGGTTTTGTAAAGCTGTGATACCATCAGCTTCTAGCTCTTACATATCTCATCTTGCAATAATGAATCTCCGAATGGAAGTGAATTACTTTAAAAGATGCAGTTTAACCCCCATGTCCCTTAGCTGTAATGAACTTGAACTCACTTCAATAATACAAAATAAACACAGACTACCAGAAAGACTCATGGGGTGTCTGATTGACTTTCTAGAGGGAGACCTTGTTAAGAAACCGGTCCCAGGAGGCACCTTCCCCAAAGACATGAAAGGCAATGTGTAGATACTAGAGTCACCTGTGCTTCAGAGTTAAGGTCTCAAAGGCTTTTAAAGCCCCACCAACTCTCACTGCCAGTCATGTATAGACTCTAAGAACCTGAAGCAGATTCTCCTCTAGAGGTGGGTGGAAAAGACTTACCTTATTTTTGTATAATGACCATAATGACCTTTTAAAGATCAAAACCATACTTAAAATGAGCCAAGGTATGGTTTTGGATCTTTTAAAGCTCATTATACAGAAATATGATAAGATAAATAAGTTTGTTTTTCAGATTTATAACTGTTTTTAGGAATAGAGGGCATCAAATATGATCAAGCTATTTATGTCTCCAAAATAGAAATGGCATCATTATGTCTCATGTACTTAAAAAATTATGTCACTACTGAAACTAGGAATTGCTGCTCATAGAGACTGTTTATATCATGGTTGTATTATTGCAATATTATTTACAATAAAAATTGTATATTGTACAGGATAGCCTATGAGAGAAAACTGGATAGACATCTACCCAAAGTCAAAATGATGCCCCTTTTTGAGAATACAAGTTTAGAATGCAAGTATTCTCAGAAAAATTATCCATTCAATGTGGTAATGTACAAGCAAATATATATAGAAGCATAATATGTAATCCACTGCAATAATGGAAAGTGTTTAGTTAAATCATCTATCTTATCATAAAATAAATCTGTTAGCATTTTACTTCAGAAGAAATAGCAAAGAAGAACTTCCATTAGACATCAAAACAAAGGACTTCAATTTGCAGGAAGACATTTCCAAAAGCAGGAGCAAGACTTTAAGATACACTATCCAACCCTAGATTCCTGGTGTAATGGGACAAAATCTCTATAACATTATCAAGAGGAATATAGAAAAAAACTCATTGCCTGGGTTGCTCTTAGTTCAACTAACCTAAAATAGCATGTTCAAAAGTAAGTTTACTTTCTTTTCATTCTCCCTCAGATTGTATAACAAAAGAAAACCCTAAGTACAATGAAAGTATTTCAAAAACACACTTTTTAAAAGGCTATTATTGTTGACTAAAACTAGTAATAGGGAATAAATATATATATATATATTTAAATTAAAGTCTATTTTTGTTACCCATTAGCCGTAAAACACTGTGCTAATTTAAAGACAACTCATCAAGGACCAGGCATGCTGGCTTACTACTGTAATCCCAGCACTTTGGGAGGCCGAGGCGGGTGCATTACCTGAGGTCAGGAATTTGAGACCAACCTGGTCAACACCCCGTCTCTACTAAAAATACAAAAATTAGCTGGATATGGTGGCGCCCGCCTGTAATCCCAGCTACTAGGGAGGCTGAGGCAGGAGAATCACTTGAACCCAGGAGGCGGAGGTTGCAGTGAGCCGAGACCGTGCCATTGCACTCCAGCCTGGGTGAAACAGGGAGACTCAGTCTCAAAAACAAACAAACAAACAAACAAAAAACTCCAACCTGCCTGGGTGACAGAGTGAGACTCCATCTCAAAAAAACAAACAAACAAAAGCTCATCTATCTTTCTACGCTCTCAATTCATTTGCATTTTTGAAAAGATTGAACATGCCTAGAGAGTAATCAGAAATGACATTTTTAAATACTACAAAATTAAAGTTAATTAGCCTCATTTGATGCTACCCTCATTTCTGGTTTTTAAATGTATGGAGCCACTGCTACAAATGGTGGACAAACTTTGCAGAGAAGATTCTACCTCTCACTAAAAACAAAGCAATCTCAGAAGAATCAATAACAGTGAAGACATGGAAGGTCAGAAATAAAAATATGCCTTAAAGGCATGTTTTGTAGGGTGAATGACCAGAAAAGTCATGTGAATCTGATGATAAATGAGGTAAAAGCATATTTCAATTATTCTAATGAATACCTTGGATAACACAACCTAATTGCACAAAAATCCTTAATGACTGGCATTCTTGCCAGTACAACCATAAAGAATCATAACATGGTGAACCAAGAAGGATACAATAATTAATGAAAGTGTTATAGAAGGCTTGCTCTAAGGAAGTAGAAGAGGGAGGTGCATAGGATGGGAAAGTATTCATAGAAATTAGCAAATAGTGCAATCTTGAGATTTAAAAGAGAAAATCATAGGATGAATATGACTTTTGTGATTAAAAATCACTTTTTAATAATTAATTATTGAATTTTCAAATAAATCATAAAGCCAGTACAGCACCAGGTTTCAGCAGAAACAGAGTATCTGATACAATCTGTAAGCATTTACATTGGCTGATAGTTGGCATGTTTGCTAAGGGGGATAACAAATAGACTGAAAGCTACAGACAGAATATTAAAATTGGAAACCCAGGGAAGGCAAGGTAAGAAAAGGGCATGGGAGGGGACACAGAAGCACAACTACCTGTTACGTAGTGTTTGGAAATAAAAGGAAAACTAGAGTCTCAAAAATAGGATTGATCTTCAGTGGGAAATGATGCAAACTGAATGAAGAACAAGTTAGGAATTTTGATTATAAATTTTTATAAAATCTTGACATATGAAAAAAATACTTTATCATTATCTAGATTGATGTTTCTCAAGCCTAACCACATCAATATCCTCCAGACTTAAATATTAGCTTGCTTAAATTATTATTTAAATGTTTCATAAGCACATAAAGCTTAATATGTTCAAAATATCACTTTGCTTACTCCATCTTAAAACATATTGTCTCATATTCAAAAATGGCACAGCTGTTAGTTACCCCAGTCAAAATAAATCCCCCATCTGTCATTCTCTCATATATAAGTTATATAACTTATTATATAAATTACATTGAGGAGATCATCTTGTTTCTGCTCCTGTCAATGTTACCATGTTTTGATATTGAGTGTCTCCATTTTAGCTGAAGCCCACGTTATCTTATACCAGAAATCCCATATCAACCTCTAAACTCATTTTTTGTGGTTATTTTAAAATTTCCATTCCTGCCCTGCCTCGAGCTTTTTCAATCCTATAATTCATTATCTTTACAACAAGAGTAATCTTTTTAAAACTTAAAGCCAATAATGTTTTTCACCTATCTTAAAATTTTGTCATGGCTTACAATTCAAGGCCTGCAGGTCTCTGTCAAGCCGTGGATGCGGGCCTCTCTTCAGCAGGACGGAGTTTGTTAAAGTTGTTAAGAGTAAGGCCTACTTTAAGAGATATACCAAGTGAAATTTAGAAGACGACGAGAGGGTAAAACTGATTACTATGCTCGGAAACGCTTGGTGATACAGGATAAAAATAAATACAACACACCCAAATACTGGATGATAGTTCATGTAATAAACAGATATATCATTTGTCAGATTGCTTATGGCTGTATAGAGGGGAATGTGATAGTCCGCGCGGCACATGCACACGAACTGCCAAAATATGGTGTGAAGGTTGGCCTGACAAATTATGCTGCAGCCTATTGTACTTGCCTGCTGCTGGCCTGCAGGCTTCTCAATAGGTTTGGCATGGACAAGATCTATGAAGGCCAAGTGGAGGCGACTAGTGATGAATACAATGTGGAAAGCATTGATGGTCAGCCAGGTGCCTTTACCTGCTATTTGGGTGCAGGCCTTGCCAGAACTACCACTGGCAATAAAGTTTTTGGCACCCTGAAGGAAGCTGCGGTTGGAGGCTTGTCTATCCCTCACAGTACCAAACAATTCCCTGATTATGATTCTGAAAGCAAGGGATTTAATGCAGAAGTACACCGGAAGGACATCATGGGCCAGAATGTTGCAGCTTAGTTGCTAGCGCTACTTAATGGAAGAAGATGAAGATGCTTACAAGAAACAGTTCTCTCAATATATAAAGAACAGCATAACTCCAGACATGATGGAGGAGACGTATAAGAAAGCTCATGCTGCTATAGGAGAAAATCCAGTTTATGAAAAGAAGCCCAAGACAGAAGTTATGAAGAAGAGGCAGAACCATCCCAGAATGTCCCTTGCTCAGAAGAAAGATTGGGTAGCTCGAAAGAAGGCAAGCTTCCTCAGAGCTCAGGAGCAGGATGCTGAAAGCTAAACCAAACAATTTTCTATGAGGATTTTTCAGATAAAGACAATAAACTTATGAACAGCAACTAAAAAAAATTAAGAAATAAATAAAATTCAAATAATCACTGTGACCTAATTCTTCCTTATTATAATCTATTCACACTGTCCTCCATTAAGACCCCCTACCCCCTCAAAAACTAAATGCTTTAACTTATTTTCTACCTCATACCAGTATTTTCAGCATATACATTCTCCACTAGAATCCTTGAATGTTCTTCCTATGATTCATTAAACATCTGGTTCTTTCAGATCCTTTAGGTCTCAATACAGATGTCACCTTCTCAAGAAGGGCTTCCCATCTTAAAATAAAAGTTGAAGAAAAAGAAATTAAAACTAAAAAGAAACTGCTAAAATTAAAAAAGACCTTCCCATAACATACCATGTGAAAATATTCTCCCAAGTTGTCATAATGTATCTTCATATTTAATTTCCTTATTTATTATTGAAATGTGCAATAATCTTGTTTCTACATTTCTTTACCAGATTTTTGTATGTTTCCTTTCATTGGAATAGTAGGTCCATAAAACAAGGGATAACTAGTTTATGTGAAGTTTGCACGTTACCAGAGTAAGAATTCAATAAACAGGTGGTAAATAAATAAATAAGAAGATTATTTTGAAAAACAAGAAAAAGTGTGATGTTTGGTTTGAGAATCAAACTGAGATCGGATATTAACAATGTTAGGAATTATTTTGGTTCATTTCATTCTTTTTTCACACTGCAGGATAGTTTTCTATTTTTCTTTTCATTGTATCTTTTTTTTTACAAGGAGACAAAATTTAAACAACGCTGGGATTTTAAAATTCAGGCATTTTAAATGATATAGTGTTAACTCTCTGTAACTTAACTCCACATTTTTAAATAAGTGACTATGACAGGATTTCTTTGGGCCAGGTGTCCACAACAGGGGAACTATAAATTGTAGCAGAGACTCCAGTTGGCTTAGTTAGGGGTAGAAGATTATCCTAAATATAAAGAACTCAAGGGAAATATTTAGCCATATTAAAATAGCATTTAAATTCTATGTCAAATATGAGCATTGTAGTTATCACAGAAAGTCTATAAAATAACAATATTTACTCATTACAGTGATAAAAATATAAAAATATAAAAAAGATGAATAAAAATCAACTGAAAGAGCAGATATACTTTATAAGTGGTAAAAATAATATCTAATTATATAAATAAAAATTGTGATTAAACATAAAATACAAAGTGAAAACTATGAGGAGCTGTAAAAACTTGTGAAACAGAACCAACAAAAAGACATGAGAAAGAAGGAACAGAAAGTAGTATCCAGTAAAGCATAATGCCAAGAAATTACAAAACTAATACAATTTTCACCAATATTATACATTGAAAGCTAAAAAAAATTGTCACCTGAAAAATAAATGTGAGGGCATATCTCCATGTATTTTAGTCAGAGTTAATTTAAAAAAGAGAGAAAAAGCAAACAGACATGGATGGTAAAATGTATGAGTTAAATGTGCATAATACACATTATACAAGGATGAAATGAATAAAGAAAATGGGTTAGGATAGTACCTAGAATCACCCATTCCTAAGAAAAAGCAAGAAGTCTCAAATTTAGAAATTGGATTATTTGCAGACATAAAATGACCTCAAGCCTTTCTCATGCCTAATGCAAATGATATAAAATATTAATTGTGGCTTCAAATGTTTGCAAACTAAGAATGTACTCATAATTCAATAAGACTGTGAGGAAGTAAATCCTCAAAATGTTTCATGATGCTGGATCATCTATTTAATTTACTATACGTTTCCATACTTGATCTTTCTGTCTCTGAAATAATTACCAAGTTTACTTATTAGACCTAGAAGCTTGAGTTTAATAACTGAGTTAGAGTAATAAACAATTCAAAGAAATGTTATCAGGGAATTGTCCTAGCCATATAAGGGCAGTCCTGCAAATAATTCTTTAAAGTTTTTAACCTCTCTTTTCCCCCAAACAGATGAATTTCCAAACTCTGACATGGCTCCTGAAAATTTCACCAGAGTCACTGAGTTTATTCTTACAGGTGTCTCTAGCTGTCCAGAGCTCCAGATTCCCCTCTTCCTGGTCTTTCTGGTGCTCTATGGGCTGACCATGGCAGGGAACCTGGGCATCATCACCCTCACCAGTGTTGACTCTCGACTTCAAACCCCCATGTACTTTTTCCTGCAACATCTGGCTCTCATTAATCTTGGTAACTCTACTGTCATTGCCCCTAAAATGCTGATTAACTTTTTAGTAAAGAAGAAAACTACCTCATTCTATGAATGTGCCACCCAACTGGGAGGGTTCTTGTTCTTTATTGTATCGGAGGTAATCATGCTGGCTTTGATGGCCTATGACCGCTATGTGGCTATTTGTAACCCTCTGCTGTACATGGTGGTGGTGTCTCGGCGGCTCTGCCTCCTGCTGGTCTCCCTCACATACCTCTATGGCTTTTCTACAGCTATTGTGGTTTCATCTTATGTATTCTCTGTGTCTTATTGCTCTTCTAATATAATCAATCATTTTTACTGTGATAATGTTCCTCTGTTAGCATTATCTTGCTCTGATACTTACTTACCAGAAACAGTTGTCTTTATATCTGCAGCAACAAATGTGGTTGGTTCCTTGATTATAGTTCTAGTATCTTATTTCAATATTGTTTTGTCTATTTTAAAAATATGTTCATCAGAAGGAAGGAAAAAAGCCTTTTCTACCTGTGCTTCACATATGATGGCAGTCACAATTTTTTATGGGACATTGCTATTCATGTATGTGCAGCCCCGAAGTAACCATTCACTGGATACTGATGATAAGATGGCTTCTGTGTTTTACACGTTGGTAATTCCTATGCTGAATCCCTTGATCTACAGCCTGAGGAATAAGGATGTGAAGACTGCTCTACAGAGATTCATGACAAATCTGTGCTATTCCTTTAAAACAATGTAATTTTAAACAGTACAGGTAAATGAGGAGAGAGTTAATATAAGCTGCCATTATGTAAAAGAAAATGTAGGAAAAAGAAAAGGTAGGTAGCCGAGTTACAGGTTCGTAAGCAATCATAAGAATTACAACAAGATACAATTTAGGGAGCTTTGAATTAAAAAATAAACTGAAACCCTTTGAGTTGTGAGGTTAAGTTAGAAAAAAAAAATGTTATTTACCAATTCTGCCTGGGATTAAGCAGGTAGACAGTTTGAAATAAAAATGGTTTCCAGCAGTTAGAAAAAAAAATTAAAAAAAGTTAAATAAGTTTGAATGAGGCAAAATATTACGATGAGAGAAGTAAAATTGACTTTCTTATTCTTTGTCTTCTTTCACTGCCCTCCAGGTATAGTTGGGTATAGTCAATCAATTCATCTTGAAAAACTGAAATTTGATTAAAAGATCCTTTTCTTCATCTAAGTTATCAAAATTAAACTAACAATCATATTTAAAATAAAATTTTCTAATGATTTCTTAATTTTGCTCTAAGAATGAAATGAATACTATCAATGAATTTATATTTTGAATGCTAACCAGAATAAGATTAAAATAATTTTATTCCACTTAATATAATTTATACGATTTTTTAATGAGAGACAGAGTATCATATTTAATATGCTTTCAGTCTGGATTTGATTTATAAACTCCACGGATTCTGTACAAATGTCCCTTTCTCCTTACTCTAAGTATTATTCTTCTTTAGTGTACAAAATGAATGCCTTGTGTTATGATATTATTATACATTGAGTGAAACATATTAATGAAAGTTTCTTACATAATTGGAAATAAAAAATTCATTTTATAAAAATTTTTTTCTGCTTTCTGATAACTCTT
The DNA here is from genome assembly GCF_000001405.40 of Homo sapiens. Classification (NCBI taxonomy): domain Eukaryota; kingdom Metazoa; phylum Chordata; class Mammalia; order Primates; family Hominidae; genus Homo; species Homo sapiens. The sequence continues at coordinate 56,362,068 of NC_000011.10, forward strand.
GTTCACTGAGCGTACATTTAAATTTCTTGCACAGCTTTGCATATGAGGGGACACAGCTAAATTTCAGAATTATCAAATCAGAATCATAAGATAAAGGTCAATAAATTTATATGTTAATAAGCTTCATGGGGAATTTTTGACATAGAACCCTTAAGAATGAATCTTGGGGCAGTGGCTCATGCCTGTAATCACAGCACTTTGGGAGCCTAGGCAGGCAGATCATTTGAGGTCAGGCATTTGAGAACAGCCTGACCAACATGATGAAACCTCATCTCTACAAAAAATACAAAATTAGCAAGGTACGGTGGTACATTCCTGTAATCTCAGCTACTCAGGAGGCTGAGTCAGGAGAATTGCTGGAACACGGGAGGTGAAATTTGCAGTGAGCCAAGATCTTGCCACTGCACTCCATCCTGGGAGACAGAGCAAGACACTGTATTAAAAAAAAAAAAGAAAAAAGAAAAGAATGAATATACATATACTGGACAAGATATATTACATTCTGTGTGTATGTTCACCTTATTTATAAGGGTGTTTCAGTGTAGAAGAGTTTCTTCAATTATAGGGAGTAAATCTTAAGTCATGATAATTATGATACATCAAAAGAAATGTAGGAGAGTGGAGCTAGATGTTTGAATAGGATTCTCCAGGGATCACTCCCCAGAGAACCATCAATTTGAACAAATATCCATGCACAAAAATATCTTCACAAGAGCTAAGGAAACCAGGTGGAGTTTGCAGCACCTGATTAGAGCATAGTAATAAGAAAAGCTGCATTGAGGAGAGTAAGAAGAGCAACTTTACATCACCCACATCACCTCTCCTCCAAACCCAGGAAACACATCATAGACAGACACACCATTTGCTTTGTAAAAAGAAAATAAAATGAGCATAGGATATGTTTTGGTCCCCAACACTGGGACTACTATAGTAAAATCTAGCACCTGGCAGCCCCTCATGGCCCCTGAATCTGGGCTGGTAACTCCTGACGGAGGTCAGAGCCTCCTGCAGACTGAGTCTCCTGGCCTGCCCTGGTGCCAGGCACGAACCTATAGGCACGGCAAAATGTACCTGATTTCTTGCCTTACTGATGGCTGACTACATTGGTCTTGGGCTCTGGGCAAATCAGGCCTTAGTGGCAGTAGACTTTGAGTATACTCCAGTGCTGCACCAGCCTCAACAGTCACCAGGATTCCAGCCCCAAGATGCACTGACCACAGCAGTCTTGGGTTTAGGGTACCACCTAGCACTGCAACAGCTGCCGTGGTCACAGGATTAAGGACAATGCCACCCAACCTGCCCAAAAATTATAAGCAAGCTTACAGTTTAAGAGTGTTCCCAGAAAAGAATTTCCCAGACTGTGAAGACCAAAATAAATAATAAAATGCCTCCCATCAAAACAAAGCCCAGGACCCGATGTCTTCACTGCCTAATTTTACCAAACATTAAAAAGCAAACTAATAGCAATTCTGAAACTCTTCCAAAAGTTTAAAGATGAGGGAATATTTCCAAACTTATTTTACAAGGCCAGCATTATTACCCTGATATCAAAACCAGAAAAAAAAAAACACAAGAAAAAAAGGAAACTACAGGACACTATCCTTGAGAAACATACATGCAAAAATTCTCAACAAAATACTAGCAGACTGAATTCAATAGCATACTAAAAAGATAATTTACTATGATCAGTGGAATTATTCCAGGAATGCAAAGATGGTTCAACATATGCAACTCAATAAATGTGATACATCACATTACCAGAGAGAAGAATGAAATCATATGATCGATTCAACATAAACAGAAAACACATCTGACAAAATTCAATATCCTTTCATGATAAAACTCTAAACATATTAGTATAAAAGAAATGTAACTGAACACAATAAGACTAATACATGGTGAGTCCACAGCTACTATCAAATGCCTAGCAAATACTAGATCTTATTCATTCTTTCTATTTTTTGTACCCATTAACTATCCTCACTTCCCCCCTTATCCCCCTACTACCCTTCCCAGTCTTTAGTAATCATCCTTCTATTCTCTGTCTCCAGGAGTTCAATTATTTTCATTTTTAGCTCCCATAATTAAGTGAGTACATGCAAAGTTTGTTTTTCTGTGCCTGGCTTATTTCCCTTAGCATAGTGATCTCCAATTCCATTCATGTTGTTGCAAATGACAGGACCTCATTACTTTTTACAGAGAGACAGTACTTCCTTCATTAAATACAATAACTATCAATTTAAAAAATTATCATTTAACCTAATGTGATGATAAATTAATGAAATATCATTCTTATGTGTTCATGTAACCACATTGGACATTTCTAGGGAAGGAGAAAAATTATCCTTTGAAATAAATTTACAAAAAAATGTTTGGACCTCTGCACAAGGTGTGTACCTGGTGCTATGAAGAATGTCTCAGAAAATGCTTGATTTTATTTAGACCCTGAAGTAAAGAGTGAATGTTAAACCACTCTTTGTGTAATGATAAAGTTGTATCTATGTTCCTTTCAAACAATTTGTGTTGAAGAAACTAACAGTACAATGAGTATAACTTTTTTGGGAAGAAATTTCTGAATATCTTTCTTTATTTTACTTTATTTTAGACAGGATCTTGCTCTGTCACCCAGGCTGTAGTGCAATGGTGTGATCATAGCTCACTGTAACTTCAAATTCCTGCACTCAAGAGATCCTCCCGCCTCACCTCCCAAATAGGATGGCAGATATGCACCACCTACCATGGTTTTTTTTTTTTTTTTTTTTGGTAGAGACGGGGACTCACTATGTTGCCCAGGCTGGTCTCAAACTCCTGGTCTCAAGCAATCCTCCCACTTCAGTCTCCCAAAGTGCTGGGATTACAGGCGTTAGCCGTCATGCCCAGCCTGAATATTTTTCTTAATCTTTAGAAGTTTCTTCATAAAAGCATTGAGTAGATATTTTCCAATCCTGTCTGTTTTATGCTTCCTCTCTCTTGTGAATCAGGGTACATGGGTTCCATCTATTACTTTCCTTTATTGCTCTCCTTAAAAAAACATGTAAAAAATAACAAGATAATGCCTACAGCAATGAAATCATACACTGTGAATTTACCATAATATCTGTGAATATTTAAACACCACTATTACTTTTTTAAATAGAAAAAGGTGGTTGTGTAAAATAATTATTTATTAAAGGAAATGAGAAGACTTGCTTGAAAGGAGGGATGAAAGGGTGTAGTTACATAGGTAAGACACATGGAATTATTTCCTGTAGTCAAACTATTCAGTATGATATAATACCGTAATGGTAGATAAATGACACCATCCCTTTTTCAAATACTCATAGAGGTATACAGAACAGAGAGTAAATGTTAATGAAAGATAATTTAAAAATAAATCATTTAGTAGGTCTGAGGAACCTGAAAAGGAGTGCAGAATGTGGCAAAACAATACATTGTATTAAAAATGCACAAAACATGCCAGGCATGGTGGCTCATGTCTGTAATCCCAGCGGAGGTGGACATATCATTTGAGGCCAGGAGTTCGAGTCCAGCCTGGTCAACATGGCAAAACCCCCTCTATCCTAACAATACAAAAATTAGCTGGGAGTGGTGGCCTATGCCTATAATACCAGCTACTCAGGTGGTTGAAGCAGGAGAATCACTTGAACCCAGGAGGCAGAGGTTGCAGTGAGCCAAGTTTGTGCCACTGCACTCCAGCCGGCAAGACAGAGTGAGACCCTGTCTCACACACACACACATACACACACACACACTCACACAAATCATGAAACAATTTCCCTGGAAGAGATGGGGTAAATGTGCTGATGTAAGTAACATCTAAAAGAGTGTGAAAATTAAAGGCAGAATGAACTAATGAACGATACATTACACTGTAATTATAAAGTTGTGTCTCATAGGGATATGTTTTAACAATTCTGAAACAAGTATGATTGTATACTAGAAATGAACAGTTAAATAAATGGATGGCATATGGTTGTTCCCACATTTCACATTATTGGAGTAGAAGGTTATAGATTAGCAAGGAGAGTATTCTAGAGTGATCCATGTGATCAGGGATTAGTGTTAACGATGAAATGAACTTATAATCAACTTAATATAAACACTAGATAGAAATAGTTATGGATATGTATATACAACATATATGAGTGAGTATCCACAGTTCTACCTCCTTGATCTGTCAGCTGAGAAGGCCTAAAGGTATGTGAACAATTCAGTGCAGCAAACAGACTTAGAACCCAAATAACAGTTTCTAATAACAATATTCCAAAAAAGGAGCCAGAGCTCCTTTGAGACTTGACTAGGAAAGGGTGGGACATTTACGTAATGAATCCAGAGCATATTATAGTTCCAGAGGTTAAGGAAGCACTGAACGAACGTGAGAGAGAGAAAGGTAGGGAAGAAGGAAGGAAAGAAGAAAGCAAAAGAGAAACACGATGATAGAGCTATGTCAAAATAACACAGGAGCAAAGTGAAAGGGTTTCCAATGAATAAAGCCAGAATAATTGGTGCAACAAAAATAAATAATGTAGAATATCAGAATTGAATTATTATCCAAAGTATAAAATAATTGTTATAACATATTGGTAGAAATAAATGATTGAACAAATTATAAATGGAAGAAAAGAGACAAATGTCCCCTACAAAATTCTCACTAATTTATGTAGCTATTCTGCCCTCAAGGAGGTGAAGCATAATTCCCCATTCTGTAAGTGTAAGTTGCACCTACTGACTTCCTTCTGAAAAGTTAATATGAAAAGGAGAGAAGAGTAACTTTTCAGTGGAGAAACCTGACAGGCACTATTTCAGCCAGATGATCAAGGTTAACATGAGCAGTGATAAGTCATACTGATAGTATGTACCTTCATTATGATATGATTAGAATGTCAATTACAGTTATGATTTTCCTCCCCAATAACCAATTACCCCAGTCTAATCATGAGAAAAATATCAGAAAAAGCCTAATTGAGGGACATTTCAGAAAACACTTAACCACTATCACAGTCATAAAAATAGGAAGTCAAGAGGGCATAAGAAAACATAATGGCAAAATTCAATATTCTATCCTGGATAGATGCTGGAACATAAAATGAACATTGGGCAAAAACTAAAGAAAGCTGAATAAAGTGTGAACTTTATTAAAAACAACAAGAATGCCTGACATTCATCAACATCACTCTGTTAGCTAAGACTTACTGTGGCCCATCTCCCTCCTTTTCCATACGAATAAATGGAATTTTATTTTAAAAATGAAAATCTGAATAACACAGTTTATGTTGCTAAGTCTAGTATGTTTTTCCCCACAAAAACCTCAGGCCTCTTTATTCTTGGGGAAGAAAGACAGATGAACATATTGTGTCATCAGCAACCATGGGCTTGACTCCTGATAGAACCACTGAGTTTTTAGAAATCAAGGTATAGATACAAGGTGTGCTGGTTGCTACTAAGGTGTCACTCTTTTTAGTTACTTTCAGCAAATTTAGATAGGAATTATAAGCATGGATAACAAACCATTTAAATACACAAAAAGGGTGGGTGTGGTTGCTCTCTTCTTAACCCCAGCAATTTGGGAGGCTGAGGCAGGAGGATCACTTGAGCCCTGGTGTTCAAGATCGGCCTGGACAACATAGAGAGACCCCATCTTTGCGAAAATTAAAAAATTAGCCAGATGTGGTGGTGGACACCTGTAGTCCCAGGTACTCGGAGGCTGAGGTGGGAGAATCATTGAACCCAGCTACTCGGAGGCTGAGGTGGGAGGATTACTTGAACCCAGGCGTTGCTGGTTGCAGTGAGCTGTAATCACACCAGTGCACTCCAGCCTGGGTGACAGATTAAGACCCTGTTTTTTATAAAACAAATCATCTATCTATCTATCAATCTATCTATCTTCTATCTACACACACATACACATATACACACATATATATTAGATATTTTATATCTATCTCTCTGCCTACCTACCTACTTCACTATTATATCTATCTAGATAAGCTTAAGCACATAGTGATGACACAGCTTTTAATCTAGCATCACAGTGTTCATTCTAGTCATCTCCACTGATCATTTTCAACTTCTTTTTCTGAGAGTGGAATACACAGCTTCTTAGCTCTAATCTAATTGTTTATTTATCTGATCAAGCTTAGTATAAATAGCTTTAGAAATGTCAGCCAATGCTCATCTCCATAGAATTCAGATACATTTCAAAAAGCTGTCTGAAGCTGACAATATAATCTACACTCCCACCAAGTTTAGTAATTTTCTAACATTAATTCTCCAAGATGCATCCATAAATTCTGCTTTGCCAATAAAATCTTTATCACTAATACTGCCCTTTGACCATGAATGAATCTCCCCCTAAAACATTTAGAACCATGTAAACTTCAAATGTAGGGCCATATTGTTGACTTCAGTATCACTAAAAAAAAAACCCAAGTTCACTACGGTTCTTCTGTCAATTATAAATCCTCCACTGGAAAAAATAAATTGTCAGCTGGAAAAATTTAAGATCTAGAAAGCTCATATTTCTTAGATAAATGTTTATTCTTCTTAGATTAGAAAGATATATTTTATCTTTAATAATTTTCCTAGAGGAAAATTAGATAGTGAGAGTCATTTTGTGTGCCTGAGCTAAAATACAATTTCCTCAATTATTGAAATTACATTTCAATGACAGACTTGAGACTCTAGAAATTGCATATTTATTAGTAATTTCATGATTTTTCTTAACTATGAAAAAGTCTCTACACCATTTAATGTTTTTTCCTTTGTTTACATTGGCTCTACCTAAAGTTCTCACATAATAATTTCCCACAACTCAGGAGAAAAGGTGAGATTAATAACAATGTCCCAGTAGAGTCTTCTTTGAGGACATCAGATGAAAAGTACACCTTATTTTAAACTCTCTAGGGCCTTAAAATGAGGATTAAAACAAACAAATAAACCTCCCAATCTCCACCTACACAAGTCAAAGTGGAAAAAACAATGTTGAGAAAACACAAACTTTTCATTAGAGGAGTGGAGAGAACACTGGACTTTGCTTCCAAGGATTAATGAGAACTACACTGTGGTGATGAGGGTACATTAGGCAGACCCATCTTCCACTTCTATCAATCAGTGGCACAGATGTAAGCACAGGTATCTCTGTTTGATTGCTTATTTTTTGTTTGATTGCTCATTGCAAGAGTCAAATCTGTTACAGTCAATGGAAAAATATCCCATACTATAGAAAAATTATGTATAATTTCAGCATTTTGATGAATAAAAAAAACCTAGGGTTTCACCTTTTCAAAAATAAAAATGTAATCGACAAAACAGAGGAAACAATTGAAACTACAAAAATGTTATTTAGGGCTAGGTGCTGTGGATCACGCCTGTAATCCCAGCACTTTGGGAGGCTGAGGTGGACAGATCACTTGAGGTCAGGGGTTCGAGACCATACTGGCCCACATAGTGAAACCCCATCCCTACTAAAATTAGCTGGGCTAGGTGGCAGGTGCCTGTAATCCTAGTTACTCAGGAGGCTGGGGCAGGAGAATCACCTGAACCTGGGAGTTAGAGGTTGCGGGGAGCCAAGATCATGCCACTGGAATCCAGCCTGGATGACAGAGTGAGACTCTGTCTCAAAAAAAAAAAATGTTTTTTAGTAGAAATTTCATAGATAATACAATTTGAAAATGTTTGAAAGCATGTGGCATAATGCCTGACATATAATATACCTACTGAATGAGTATTGATGTTACTGAATAATTGCAATAGTAATAATAATAATAAAGTTTAGTCTCTGATGGTAAAAGTAAATTCAGCCATCAGGATTCATCTACTTTTGAATATTATTAAAAGTTTGAGGAATGATATTTTTAATAACTCCATTAAATATCAAGCTGTGAGTGGACACTTGTCATAGCCTTAGTTGATTTTTTGTTCCTGAATCTGTCAAAAGTGCAAAGACCATGAAAGTATCTATTTCAACAAAATGGTCACATGCTACAGAAGATGTATGTATTACAAACTTTTGAAAATATGTATTGGGTGCTTAATTTGTGCAAGATACTATTGTAGGCCCCAAAGGTACAGTAATGAACAAAACAAAGTTTCTTCTCATATGGAGTTTCTATTTGACAAGGAAGATGGATAATAAGCAAATATATAAAATAATATCAGAGAGCAAGCAGGGCTTGTGACTATGTGGAGGAGTGTTCCAAGCAGAGGGAATAGCAAGTACTCAAATCTTAAGACTAGAACACAAAGGCCATGCACAATGTTTAGTGTCTTCCCAGTACAAGTCAATATCGCTTGATCCATTCTGAACTTGGTAACATTTATATGCAACTGAGTTTGCACATCTAATTACACGACCTGGTAATATGGTTCATCTCTTGTGACCGTACATTTTCTGTTCCAATATAATATTTATGGAATCGTTTAGATTTACTACGTGTTACCCAATGTCTTGCTTCTGTATATGGAAAAATAACCAGAAATTAAAATATGTTGTAGTTACGGCAATAACAAACAAACAGACAAAAAGAAATTGCTAGAACGTCAGTGTGGCCGGAGCGCAGTGATTAAAGCAAGGAAGTTCAGGAATAATTCTGCAGTAAAAAACAAGTTCCTTTGAAAGGACAAAAAGAAGAGCCATCATTGTTGATCCACTGCTAAACAGCTGAGTAACATAAGCAACACATTACAAAGCAGTAAATTCCCTGTGGCCATTGAGTGTCATTATGATGTTGAAATAATTGTTCTGGAGGCCAACACACTGGTCAGCAAAGTTGATTCTTTCACCAAGTAAATGGAATATAAAATCAATAATACTCTATTAATCATTTCTTTTATGCAATGTCTTTATCTATTGGATGATAATAGGAACAGATGAAACTATTAAAAGAAACTCTTGATTAATCGATTATTCTCTACTAATTAATGTTACCCGAAGGATTGCCTTCTAAGCTCCCCAGTTTAGGAAGAAAACATATGAGGCCTCTTAAATAAAAAAGTTTTCCTTTATCACTTAAAATAACATTGTAAAAGATCCCTAAGTTAATATGGGACATCATTTCCTTAATTTTATTACAAAAAAATTGATGAATGGCATTTGTTGAAGCATGGCCAGCATTAACAGATGCTTCGGTAAGCAAGGAGGTGCTGCAGTTCTTCAGAATCTTTTTATTTTCCTGAAATTTAGAAAACTTAGGCATGGGAACTCATAGATCCGCTGAAAGTAAGAAAGAATGGAATTGTATAGTGACTTTTAGTATACACTCACTCACTGATCAACATTAAACACTGGTAAACAAATCTAGTCTAATGTGACAAGATTAAAAAAAATTGCCACATTACATTTATCTGAACAGTCAAGTCTACTCTCTGGGTATGGTGTTAGTATGTCTTTACTCACAGACACTGTTTTCTAAGTTATGTTTGTGATGAGATATAAGAATGAGAAAAAGGATAATGTAGAATGGACTAAGCCATGAGTTACATATAGACACTTACAGTGCCAGTTACAACTCTGAATAAGAATTGTAAAGGCCTTTGTTATTCTCTGAGGAAGAAATGTATTAACTTATATTTCAAAATACCATCATTTAAAATACATACAACATTTTCTATATAAAGCGTCTGAACTTCCATATTTTACAAATGACAATTTTGGCTTTCTGTGGCCATCTATAAATCTGATTTTTCAGGTATTAAAATTATTTCATTATTTTATTGTTTAATCTCATATATTTTAAGACAAAAAATAAAGAGAATTGGGGAACCAAATGTAATGTTTAGAGTTTTAAAATATTTTTTATTCATTGGTAAGGATTTAGTGTCAAATGGCTAGTCCAGGATCAGGATCACCACTCATCCTCTGAAAGTTTTTTTTTTTTTTTTTTTGTGCGTGTGTGTGTGTGTGTGTACATGTGCATGTTGTACTGCACATATCGATTCAGTATCTCAATATCAAACCTCAAGTCATGGCATTTTGTACGAAATCACAGAGATGGAAAATTAAGCCAATTTTACTAGATGTATTTCTCATTTGAAAAAACAACTATGTACTCAAATAATTACTTAATATATTACACACACACTTATAATTCTTATCCTAATTAATATTTACACCATTTAACTAAGTTGTGATTTCTAAGCTTTTGTCACTTTTCCTGTTTCAGTCAAAGTACTGTGTTCATAAAGCTACTGTTATTGTTAGAAATTTACTTAACAGAAAACTACAGGGATGATTTTAAATTTATAGCCAATATGGAAAATATACAAATCCACTCTTCTTACTCACACAGTAATTTACAAGACATTTCTTATCCGTTGTCTAGTTTGGAGTGACTAGGACATAAGCACATGCCCAGAGCTTTTGCAAAATGTCTCATGCATAAAATATTAAGGAGTAGGTCCTTGGAAGAATTGGATACACATTTCATAGAAAGCTATTTGTGAGAATTTTCAAAAAAGATAGTTAGCTACCTGCCTTTCAAAGCCAATATTGAAGATTGACACTAAATCTACAACAGCAAATATATTTTGTAAAACATAAAAATATAGTAATGTTTTTAAAGTTAGAGGACCCTTAATAATGTCATACTAAAAACAGCTTCACATCTGCAGTTATTTAAAAACAGATCAGGTCAATAAATCTTTAGCCTGCCTTGCAATTCCAATGAAGTACAGACTGTAATTTTTATGATACTCTTACTTGCTTCATACTCTGGAACAAGATCCTTTGGGAAAGAGACACTAACAAAAACCACATAGTCATTGCTATCCACACCTATTATGAGGAGAAATACAAGTATCCTCTTCCCAGGTAGAATAGAGCATATTTCAAGATGGTGGGCTTTGACTCATTTATAGCTAATACATTTGCTATATTAACTCGAGATAAGTATTTTTAAAATTAAAGAGTGCCGTACAATAATTAGAGAAAAATCATTACGAGTACATTTTATAAAATAAAGTGTTTTCTCTGGTTTTATTTTAATTTTATATGTGGGTATGCATTGTGATTTTAAAATATTTCTTATTAGATTGAAGTAACTAAAAATTCCTGTTTAGAATTTTTAAAAATGTTTGGAAATAAACAGTTCCGTTATTGACCAAATTATACATTCTATGCCCAAACTCTGCTTTCCCCTCTTGCAGTAGCTAGAAATTTTACCCAGGATTAGTGGGGCATTCGTTAGACATTACTAATATGTCTCTAGAGATATTTTCCAAAGAAAATAATATAACCTAGGGGCAAGGGGAAGAAATATTCAAATGTCATTCCAAAATTAATCTTTAATTCCCCATCATCTAACATCTAGAAGAGACTACATTAGGAAATGAATAAAAACAGCGTGATTTTCAACCACAAAGGGTCTAAAGTCTATCAGGGGAAGATATATGGAAACAGATGGTTGTAATAAGAGATGAAATATAGATTAGGTATGTCTAAAATGTTTTTGGAAGACAAATATGAAAGCTGTTAACATGGGAAGGAAAAATTAAGTAGCTCTTCATAGAAGTGTGATATTTCAGCAGAGCTTGAAAGATAAGTAGGAGTTTCCATTTTCACTGTCTATTTTTCTGTAAAGAAAGAAACTAGGAATGGCAAGATTAAAAATAGAGAAGTATGGAAAGGCATTTTGTTATTGACAAATTGAGACCAATCATTAATTGAAACAATGGATGCTCCTGCTGACTGGAGAGTTGAGTGGAACCGGGATAATAAAAATATTCAGAGATGATACTATAAAAAGTCACATGTCCTTTCAAATATAATGCATGCTCTCCTTTGGATTCAAAGTAAAATAGTTTGTGTGCACACGTTTCAGGGTTTTGTGTTTTACAGGTGGAGAAAAACGAATGATAAGAAAAGAGACCAGAAATATAGGGTAAAGTTGGATAACGCTTGCTTTCTTTCCAGCCTGGACTACTATCTATTCTTTCACTGCTCTATCTTCAGACTCTATGCACGCTCTGAAAATTAATAGTCCCCACTATATATTATTGAATAAAGAACTGAATGAATTGAAATAACCTTCTACAAGAGTAGCAGTTAGACAAAATCCAGGAAAATGTTAAGGATAGAATGTTCAGTCTTGGTTACAGATTACAGTGGGTGGTATAGCTAGGAACTGTTAAAGGTAAGTTGCTTATCTACTCATGTTAGTGAAAATGGTTCAGTGTGTGGGGACTAGTGTGTAGGTTTTGAAACTGTGCTTGTAACTACTAGTAGATCTTAAATCCACTTTTTAGGATCCCAAGAAGCATTGTTTGAATTAAATAGAATGGAACAGATTACGCTAGAAAACGAAAGAATATGTAATACAAGCGGATGTCAGGGAAGCAAAAGTATTATTCTCAATATATCTATTAGTTCCATGCCATCTTATAACAAGTATTTATTTCTATAGTTTGTCATAAAAAAGTTTGAGTCTGAAAGTTAGTCTTCTTGAGAAGGGTTTGGTCTGAGCAGTGCAAAGACCAAAAATTCTCTTTTTACTTACCTCCCTTTTCTCTTTTCTTTTTCCTATTTTAACTCAAAATTGACGTTCAGTTTTTAACATGCAATTAGAGATTTGGAATTTATGGGTTCCTATGTCCTTATCCATCAATTTCCATGTTGCTATAATTAGACATTAATGTTCCATCTGTATTAGGGTTTTAGGATATCTAGTATATACTTACATATTGCATATCTAATATGTATCTTATACATATAATAAATATAATTTATTTAGAATAAAATTAAGGTAAATAAGTATTTTTTGAAAGTTACTACTTACCACATTATGTTGCTCAATAAATATGTTTATTAATACAAAACACAAATAACTGAAATGGATTCTTTGATTAATTGAGCAGAAGTAAATACTCAAGAGCTATTAGTAAACTCTGAAGAACAGTGAAGAAACACAGGCTCTTATTTTATTTATATATTTATTTGCATAGTAATTTTCAAAGCGTGAAATTTATAAGTTTTTAAGGAAAGCTCTATTTTCCATTACTAGATATAATGGTGGGAGAGAGAAGAAAGAGGAGTTGAGAGACATGATATTTGATACTATTTGGGTATTCAATAATTCAATTTTAAAATTATCCAAAATGAATAAGAAAATGATGATACACAACATTAAATAGAGTAGGAAAACAAAAATTAATGCAAAAAATGTAATTAAATCAGTTTTTTAATAAAAGATAAAAAAGCAGACATAAACTGAATGTAAAGAAACATAAACTTCCAAATCTCTTAGAAAGCAAATATCAATTTTACTCTAATTTACAGGATAAGATTATGTGAGGATTCATTCCCTACATTCATGTAAGTTCATGCTTTAGATATAAAGATGTTTATACGGTGTTATATTCTTTTTGCTCTCCATCACATTTCCAGAATTCCAGTATGCTAACAATCATTATATTAGTTAAATAAATTAATAAATAAATCTAATTAATTAAACTCTTTACAATACAATAAATATAAAAACACCACATATAGGATTTACAGTATTAAAATATGACTTAGACTTAACTCTTTTCTCTACTTCCACATTTAGATGGCCAGAAAAGATATGGCTCACATCAATTGCACCCAGGCGACAGAGTTTATTCTTGTGGGCCTCACAGACCATCAGGAGTTGAAGATGCCCCTCTTTGTGCTATTCTTATCCATCTACCTCTTCACAGTGGTAGGCAACTTGGGTTTGATCCTACTCATTAGAGCGGATACAAGTCTCAACACACCAATGTACTTCTTTCTTAGCAACCTAGCTTTTGTGGATTTCTGTTACTCTTCTGTCATTACACCCAAAATGCTTGGGAATTTCTTGTACAAACAAAATGTTATATCCTTTGATGCATGTGCTACTCAACTGGGCTGCTTTCTCACCTTCATGATATCAGAATCCTTGCTACTGGCTTCCATGGCCTATGACCGATATGTGGCCATTTGTAACCCTCTATTGTATATGGTTGTAATGACTCCAGGAATCTGCATTCAACTTGTAGCAGTTCCTTATAGCTATAGCTTCCTAATGGCACTATTTCACACCATCCTCACCTTCCGCCTCTCCTATTGCCACTCCAACATTGTCAACCATTTCTATTGTGATGACATGCCTCTCCTCAGGCTAACTTGCTCAGACACTCGCTTCAAACAGCTCTGGATCTTTGCCTGTGCTGGTATCATGTTCATTTCCTCCCTTCTGATTGTCTTTGTCTCCTACATGTTCATCATTTCTGCCATCCTGAGGATGCATTCAGCTGAGGGAAGACAGAAGGCTTTCTCGACGTGTGGCTCTCACATGCTGGCAGTCACCATATTCTATGGGACCCTCATTTTTATGTACTTACAGCCTAGCTCTAGCCATGCCCTGGACACAGACAAGATGGCCTCTGTCTTCTACACAGTGATCATTCCCATGTTGAATCCCTTAATCTATAGCCTCCAGAATAAGGAGGTGAAAGAAGCTCTGAAGAAAATCATTATCAATAAAAACTAGAGTTTTGTGTTTATAAAATTAAGAAAGTAACTTGAGTAAGGAAAAATGGACTTCTTTCATGGTATGATTTTTTTCCCAGTATAAGTTATCAGGATCCTTGTTTCTCAATATGTGATGTATACATATATTTTCGCTGTGTAATACAATTTTCTAGAGAATTTCTCTTAGAACGTTAGGTATAAAAGTAACTATAAGAATTTACAACACTTCTCTTATTTTTCAAGTGGAAAATATATTAAAATTATTAATTTTCTTGCATAATATTTTATACCAATTTTCCTATTTCTCAAATGAAGAATGCATAAAAAGTCATCATCAAGATATATAATTAGTTATGTGCAGAGCACAGACAAAAGTTAACTCCTCTCCCCGTCCATCCCCAGTTCAGGATTCTGAAGCTGTATTTACAATATCCCACGTGAAAAATAAAGACACATAGTCTAAACATTTTCTTTCTCAATTCCTAATTTTTTGAAAAAATACATGACAATATAAAAATGTCCTATATTTATGCATTTAACATATTGTCTTTATTAATACAAAGAGTACTGCTTTCTAACCTCACCTATGTTACTGACTGAATGTACCTTCTACTTCCTGGAAGTCTTGTTCTGTCTCTGAAGACTAACTCTCTAAGAGAACTGCTTTTCTTATGCCTACAAGATCTCATTATACTTTTTCCCAAAATGTAAATAATGTAACTCAGGGATAGAATTCTGGAGGGAGGAGGGGAGGGCATTATAATTCAAACAAATATATTCACAGTCATTGAAACATCATAAATCATTTTTCCAGTAACAAGGATTATATACAGTTGTGCACAGCAAAGCTCAGGTAAGCTGGTCATTATTTATTAAGGTATAGCTTATAACTCAATGAACCCAGTAGGCAATGTAGCCGAGTGAATAAGCACATGCCTTATAGTCAAAGTATGTGGTTAGATCCCAAACATGTCATTGTGCTCTAGGTATGCTCTTATGAGTTTACTCATCAGATAAATGAGAATAATGTTACTCAGTTTAGAGACTTTTATAGGACTAAGCAATATGGAAAGGGGTAATAATTCATGGTAGGCACTTGAGTATCATTTCCCTTCCTTCTATGAACCTGCAGACTTGAGTGCTAGTCTACTAATTATAAGTCACATAAACGTGAGGGAGCAATTTATAAATGAAGATTATTGTACACCACAGCTGATAAATTGATAATAGAGAGAGAGAGAAAGAGAGAGAGAGAGAGAGAGTAATCATTTTAAAGTATCTTTTTAACTTTTATTTTAAGTTCAGGGATACAAGTGCAGGTTTGTTACATATGTAAAGTTGTGTCAGGGGGTTTGTTGTACAGATCTTTTCATCACCCAGGTATTCAGCCTGGAACCCATTAGTTATTTTTCCTGATTGGCTCCCTCCTCCCAGCCTCCAGCCTCTGAAAGGTCCCAGTGTGTGTTGTTCCCCTCTATGTGCTCATGTGTTTTCATCATTTAGCCTAAGAAAGATTTGATTTTATGAATCATGCCTATCATTTAATATTTTTGCTTCACTTTTTTTCATCTGTAGCCTGTTTCCATACTTAATGGCAAAAGATTAGAAATATACTATTAATGCCCACTGAGAGATTATATTAAAATAGAAATAATTCTTAAATAACCTGCTTTAGGTTAGTGTCCATTTTCAATAATTTTCTTATATATTTGTGAGGTTGTAGAGACATAGGAGTAGCATGACCCACAGTTCTCAAAAGTTTATTTCCTCCTTTTTTCTTTAAACACATGTATCTACTACTTGAACATTTCAGTGCCTTCCTATTGTCTCACATAGGATTAAGCTCTGGCAGAAGATGTTAAGTCTGTCATCTATATATTGAAAGGTTATAATTAATGTTCTTAAATGCATAACCTCTTGGCTGGGCGTGGTGGCTCACGCCTGTAATCCCAGAACTTTGGGAGGCCGAGGCAGGCAGATCACAAGGTCAAGAGATCAAGACCATTCTGGCCAACACGGTGAAACCCCATCTCTACTAAAAATATTACAAATTAGTGGGGCGTCGTAGTGCATGCTTGTGGTCCCAGCTACTCAGGAGGCTGGGGCAGGAGAATCACTTGAACCCAGGAGGCGGAGGTTGCAGTGAGCAGAGATCGCTCCACTGCACTTCAGCCTGGTGACAGAGCGAGACTCTGTCTCAAAAAAAAAAGCATAACCTCTTATCTTAGCAGGCTGGTACATTGTCTGTGCATCAGCCATTCTACTAAAGGGCGTAGATATTTTGGGGAATAAAAGCCTGAATGTGAGCTCTAAATCTAACATTTGCTGAGTTGGAAGTCCTCAACAGTTTATTCTATTTATGTATACTCTAGTTTCCTGATCTTATAAGAAAGTATGAAATATAAAAAGTAAAATGAGGTGAAGAAAATATCAACTATTAAATTCATAAAATGAAGCAGTATGAAGATAAAAATATATCAGCTGTTAAATTAATTGTCCCAAAATCAAAAAAGATTATGATTAAAAACTTTTGTTTGAGTGAAAAATTTTTTAATTGTAATTTTTACAATTTCATACCTAACTTGAAAAAGCTAAACATTTGGAAAATTATCCAATCACAATTAAAGCTTAAAATTTTCAGGTTAAAACTGAGGATTTGTTATATAACTGTTAATATAGGAGAAAAAGATTTGTCATGATTTCCGCTTAAATTTTGCGGATGATTTTGTTAAGTTGGTTTTGTCCGTTTTGAGGACAGTCATGTTTCATTTGACAAGTGCTTCAAACTCGTTAACAAATTAGTCCACCTGTGGAACATATCACAACAAAATATTTCCAAAAAATGTGAAAGTATGAGTCTGTATTTAATGGCAAATAATTGGCAAACAATCTTTTCTTTAACTTTTATTTTTGATCGGGCAAACAATCTTTAGTAGCAAATAAATTCATGCATCCCTACGGGCACCAGATAAGCACAAATTATAGAAACACCAATGTGAAAAATTAAGTTGTCAAAGTGCATAAGCATCTAAGATATTGAAACATGGAAATATGCATATAAAATTAAAGTCAAGTTTATGAAAACAGAGGATAGCATAAAATGTAAAGAACCATTAAAATTGAATGGGAAGGCAGGAAGGAAGAAAGAAATGGAAAGAAAAAGGAAAGATCAATCTCAATATCACCACATAGGTATAACTACTGTTAACATTTTGTCATATTTTATTTGAGTATTTCTGTGCACATATATATGTATACATACATGCAATATCACCTGTATATATTTATATATGTAATCCTTCTTTTCATGTCAATAAATGAAAACCTATATCAACTTTTAAAGGGTCATTTAGTATTTTATGAAGAATTTACAGTTACTAAATATCTGTTAGAACGTATTTAGACAAATTCCATTTTACGGTAACTGAAATTAAACAATATATGTACTTGCATATTTTTATTATTTTCTTATGGACTTAGCATTGAAATCATTGCATCAAGTGGCAGAAATATTTTAAACAATTTTGATGCTTACTGTTAAGCTACCTTCTAGAAAATTGAGGATAAATTACATCTTTACAGGATGTTCATGAGGATATATCCATTTCCCACACCTTTACCAACATGGATATTTTCATCCTTTTAATTTGATCAATCTTATGTTATCTAGTCCTTTGATATTTAATAAAATTGATTATTTCCCTTTGTAATTAACAAATATATTACATGGAAAGCAGCTAGAGATTCATCATTGATTTTGTGTTCTGCTTTTAGCATATTGCGTAATCATAAAATATTTGTCATTTACTAATTTTTGTATTATTTTATTTATAATATTAACCTATGTTTATATAACTACCACCAGTGCTGTGCTGGAGGCAGCCCATACTAGCGTCCAAGAACTATATCTGCAAATCTCTTTTGAACTCATGTTCATGACTGTAGGTCAGTAGCTTAAAATCAGCTAAGATGGGAGTATTTACAGCATGGAAATCACAAAATCAACAGATGTTACAAATTAAATCTTCCTTTTTCTTTTAAATTTGAAAGCCAGTTGATAAACATCCACTGGAATGCCATTGATCTCCACCCTGCTTTGCATCCTACAGTTTATATTTTACTTTTTGTAAGAATAAGTAACCTTTAATTACTTTAAGAAATATCTTGTTTATCTTGAAAGTTTAATAAATCAATTTCAGTTTATCTTTCATGCATTATGAATTTGAATTAACCTGTAAATAATTTTTTTCTTCCCCAAATGCCACCCCACTACAAAATAATGTGAATCTATAAATTTATTTAAGTTAAGCATAAACAATATGCTTAACTTCTGAAGCATATTGTTATATATGCTTAACTTATATATGTATGAATATATAAAGCCAATATTTTGCCAAGTTTAATAGTAAATTAAAATTTGGGTTTTACTTTTTCCTCATTATTTTAAATGGAATCTTGAAAACTATATTTTCACTTTTACTTGAAGCTACATTTTTATTATGGTATCATTTTCATTATGTAGCTTGGTAACTGAATGCTTCACAACAATCATAACAAATCTAATAATATTTTTCCACTGAGCTTATTGGTTCAAGTACCAATAAGCTGTAATATATACTTTAGAATATATACCAATATAGTATAATACATACTTTAAAAATAATGATATTTTTACCACTGTTTTTGTTGCATGGGCTAGGATACTGCATAATGTTTAGTCAAAGCCATGGTTGTCTTGATTCTAAGTTGAGTAGAAATATCGAGTATTTTGCCTTAATGTAGTATTCTAAAATATGTTAGCATTTCTTTTATCATTGAAGTATTTATCCTGCTTTTCCTATGATACAGGGTTTTTATTGTATATATAACATTCCACATTTTAATTCAAGATATTCTATCTTCTTTAACAATCTTCCAGACTACTAAGCATGTTGGAATATCTGACTGGAGCAAATCCCTTCTGATAATAAGCAGGGAGAATGATGTATAGGACAAGAGAGAGTTATCTTTCCAGTATGATCACCATCAAATAAGTGTGAGTCAAGTCTTTAATCCAAGAAATGGAAGATTATCCAGGATGAATGTTTTGAAGATAATGGTATGAAATACTTCTACACATATTTCATGGCCAAAACCAATAATTCAGAAGTTACTGAATTCATCCTCTTGGGACTCACAGACAATCCAGAGCTCCAAGCCCTTTTTTAGGGGGATCTTTCTAGTGATCAATTTAAGTAGTGTCATGGGTAGCCTTGGGTTAATTATGCTAATTCATATCAGTCCTCAGCTTCACACAGCTATGTATTTTTTTCTCAGCCACGTAGCTTTTGTTTATTTTTGCTACACCTCCTCTATCACCCCTAACAGCCTAGTGAACCTCCTCCAAGAAACTAAAAGAATATCCTTACCTACTTGTGCCTCTCAGTTGCATTGCTTTATCATGTTTGTGGTTTGTGACATGTATGTGCTCTCAGCCATGGCATATGACAGGTATGTGGCCATCTGCAACCCTTTACTCTATAGTATCATCATGAACAGAAGGGTCTGTATTCAAATGGTGGTAAGTACATATTTGTATGGCTTTTCTGTGAGACTCCTACAGGCAATTCTTACATTCCACTTGTCTTTCTGAGATTCAAATATAATAAATAATTCCTATTGTGATGATGTTCCCCTAGCATGTCTACCCTATCATAAAAACCATTACAAAGATGTAAAAGAACTGATATTGTTCACACTTGCTGGTTTCAATACACTTTTCTCCCTTCTTATCATCCTCATCTCCTACATATCAGTACTGTCTGCCATTCTGAGAATTAATTCAGCTGAAAGTAGACAAAAGGCATTTTCTACTTGTGACTCCCACCTGACTTCTATCATCATATTTTATGGTATAATTACCTTCATGTATATGCAGTGAAAAACAAATAATTCTCTGGATACAGACAAAATAGCTTCTGTTTTCTGTATTGTGAAAATTCCTTCAATATATAGCCTGAGGAACCACGAAGTCAAAGATGCTTTGAAGATGATTATGGAAAATCTATGTCTTACTACAAGATAAATGACCTTGGGTCTAATCATAAAGCCCTTTGAATTGGGAGGCAAAATAAAGCCAGACTTTAAGTATTTTTGCACTAGCACACCATTAGTAACCTGCTTTTTAATGTTATAATATCAAAGTTGATATCGATACAGAACATGCATTAATTTTCATATTTCATTATTTGAATTGTTAAATGTATATATTTAATTGTTGTGAATACACAATAGTTGTACACATTTATGGGGTACATCTAATATTTAATACAAGCATACACTGTGTAATGATCACATCGGGGTAAATGGGATATCCATAACTTTGAGTATTTATCATTTCTTTGTGCTAGAAACATTCTAATTCCATTCTCTTTGTTATTTTGAAATACACAATAAATTATTGGAAG
This sequence comes from Homo sapiens, assembly GCF_000001405.40. NCBI lineage: Eukaryota > Metazoa > Chordata > Mammalia > Primates > Hominidae > Homo > Homo sapiens. The sequence goes on from NC_000011.10 coordinate 56,382,981, forward strand.
CTATAGTTGCCCTACTGTGCTACCAAACACTACATCTTATTCTTTCTATCTAACTGTATTTTTGTACTCATTAACTATTTCCTCATTATCAACTCTCCTCCCCAATACACTTCCCAGTCTCTGCTCTGGCAACCACCATTCTACTATCTCCAGGAGTTTTATATATATATATACACACACACACATATATATATATATACACACACACATATATATATACACACACATATATATGTAAGAACACGTGATATTCGTCTTTCTGTGTCTGACTTATGTCACTTATAATATCTTTCATGTTGTTGCAAATGACAAGATTTCATTAATTTTATGGATCAATAATAATCCGTTGTGTATATGTACCACATTTTCTCTATGCATTCATCCACTGATGGAAACTTAGGTTGATTCCATATCATGGCTGTTGTGAATAGTGCTGCAATAACATGGAAGTGTAAACATCTCTTCAATATACTAATTTCCTTTCTTTTGGCTATATATCCAGCAGTGAGATTGCTGGATTATATAGTAGTTCTACTTTTAGTTTTTTGAGGAACCTCAAGATTGTTCTTTACAGTGACTGCACTAATTTAATTTACATTCACACCAATGGTGTTTGAGGGTTCTCCTTTCATCATATCCTTGCCAGCATCCATTATTGCCTGTCGTTTGGATAAAAGCTATTTTTAACTGGGATTAGGTGACATCTCACTGTGGTTTTGATTTGCATTTCTTTGATTACTAGTGATATTAAACCATTTTTCATATACCTATTAGTCATTTTTAGGTCTTCTTTTGAGATATGTCTAGTCAGGTTTTTTGCCAATGTTTCAATTGAATTTTTGTGGATTTTATTTTTTCCTACTGAGTTGTTCGTGCTTGTTATATATTCTGTTTATTGATCCCTTGTCAAATCTGTAGATTGCAAATATTATCTCCCATTCCGGATTACTTCTTCACAATTCAAAGTGGAGAAATGTTATTTTAAATCATGAAAGTAATCTGTGTTGATATTGTGAGAAGTGAAAATGACATTTATTCAGTTGCAAATAGTAGGCTAAATTTTGTTTCATGGAACATTTAAAAATCAATCTTTTTTTCCAGTGAAGACTTTGACTTCAACACTTTTAATATATAAACCTTGAATTGGTAAAAATTATGTCCACTTTATATCACTAAAGCAGCTTTGAGTCATTAACATTGTCTATAAAATACACATACACACCCACACACACATGACCTATTAGTTGAACCCCAAAAGAGTTATTGGTTCTGATGACATGACAGGGACACTGGCATTAACACCTAATTTAAAAAGACTGGTGCAAAGCCTAATTAAAAAATACTAAAAGAGCAACTTGAATTCTAACAAATGAAACAAAAAGTACCTTAGTGTCAAAAACAATTCTATCGATGAGGTATATTTATAATTGCTAATTTGCTGATTTTTATAATAGTAGCATGGTCATTTAAGAGAATGTTCTTGCTTTTAGTAAATATAACAAGTATATAAAGGTAAAGAGGCATCATGTCTTCAACTTATTATCAAAGCTCAGAAAAAATGTGGTAAAATGTTAACATCTGGAGAAGCTGGGTGAATGGTGCAAAATAATTCTTCGTAAAATGTTAGCATCTTTTCTGTAATTCTAAAATTATGCCAAAATAAAAGCTCAAATAAAAAAATATACCCTGTTTAATAAATGGTGCTGGGAAAATTGTAGAAGAATGAAGCTGGATCCCTATTTCTCATCGTATACAAAAATCAACTCAAGATGGATTAAAGAGCTAAATGTAAAACATGAAGCTTTAAAAATTTTATAAGAAACCCTGGGAGAAACTCTCCAGGACATTGGACTTAGCAAAGAATTTATGTCTAAGACACCTAAAGCAAATGCAAACAAAACAAAAAGAAATTGGACCTAATTAAACTAAAAAGCTTCTGCATAGCAACAGAAATAACCATTAGAGTAAACAAACAACCCATAGAATGGAAGAAAATATTTGCAAACTATGCATCCATCAAAGGACTAATACCCAGAATCTGAAAGGAACTCAAACAAATCAAAAAGAAAAAACAAATAAATAAAAGTGGATAAATTACATAAATAGACATTTTTCTAAAGAAGATAAACAAATGGTCAACAAATATATTTTAAAAATGCTCAACATCACTAATCATCAGGGAAATGCAAATTAAAACCACAATGAGATACCACCTTACCCCAACCAGAATGGCCATTATTAAAATGGACATCTATTAAAAAAATAATAGATGATGGCATTGATGTGGTGAAAAGGGAATGCATATACACTGCTGATGGGAAAGTAAATTAGCACAACCTCTATGAGAAACAGTATGGAGATTACTCAAAGAACTAAAAGCAGATCTACCATTTGATCCAGCAATCTCACTACCGGGTATCTACCCAAAGGAAAAGTCCTTATATCAAAAGGCTACCTGCTTGTATATGTTTATTGCAGCACAATTTACAATTGCAAAGATATGGAACTAATCTAGGTGCCCATCAACCATGAGTGGATAAAGAAAATGTGGTGTACAAACACCACGGAACACTACTCAGCCACGAAAAATAACAAAATAATGTATTTTGCAGCAACTTGCGTGGAACTTGAGATCATTATTCTAAGTAAACTAACTCCAAAATGAAAACCAAATACTGCATATTTTCACTTATAAGTGGAAACTAAGCTGTGGCTATACAAAGACATACAGAGTAGTATAAAATGGACATTAGAGACTCAGAAAAGGGGTGGGTGGGTGGGTTGAGCCACAAAAAACTACATATTGAATACAACATACACTACATGAGTGACCTAAAATTTCAGGCATCATCACTATACAGTTCATCGATGAAACCAAATCCGCTTTTACTCCTAAAGCTATTATAATTTAAAAAATTAAAAACTAAAAATAAGTCTTCATTTAATTTTAATTTAATGTTTTAATTGAACAATATCTTTTAATATAGTATTTTGTTGGCCCAATTCCAAATTCATTGTAACTTAAAAAAAGATTTTATTTATAAGAAATAATTATAAGTATCTGTTTTTAAGAAAATTGTTAAATAATACCATCTATTCATCTTCAATAAAGTTTAGTGTAACAAAATCGACTTTGTTTTATAAGTGCTGATTAACTAAGTTTTTATTTTTCACCAATAATAAGTTAAAACAATACTCAATACTTTTAAGAAAACGTTGTCACAATTTTGTCAAAGTTCTTAAAATATCTAGAATTTTGTTAATTACTTTATGACCAGCCATTAAATTACACTCAAGTTTCTGAGAGATATCAATGTGTATGTAAGGATTCAACTCTTCATTGAGTCAGGAGACTGGATCTGGCTCTTTCATATTCAATTCAATGTTTACACATTTGGAAGTGGGACAGTTTACAGGAATGTCATAGAAAAATACACCTCTGTATCAGTTCAGTCATTTTCACTCTGTCTGGAGTGAACCCCGGCCTTAACAGAGAATGCCTGAATCACAACCACCACTATCAAATTTCTAGCCACCTCCATTTCAAATGCAGCCAGATTCTACTCTGTCACTGTCACCAGTGTTGCATAGTACCAGAGCAAATGTCCTCAAAAGTGTTATATGGAATATTAAGCCCATAGTAATAATCCACAAAAAAGGTAATTTTAAATGATAGCCCTTTGCTTGAAGATATAATTCCCATTGGTATTAAAAAAAGGAACTTGGCCGGTCATGGTGGCTCACGCCTGTAATCCCAGCTCTTTGGGAGGCCGAGGCAGGCGGATCACGAGGTCAGGAGATGGAGACCATCCTGGCTAACACGGTGAAACCCTTTCTCTACTAAAAATACAAAAAAATTAACCGGGCATGGTGGCGGGCGCCTGTAGTCTCAGCTGCTGGGGAGGCTGAGGCAGGAGAATGACCTGAACCCGGGAGGCGGAGCTTGCAGTGAGCCGAGATCGGGCCACTGAACTCCAGCCTGGGCGACAGAGCAAGACTCTGTCTCTAATTAATTAATTAATTAATTAATAATCAAGAATGAACTGACAAAATCTCTTTCAATTTGTTTAACACTCATTTTGTTAACATTTTTGAAAGCATAGAACTTCCAGAATTTTCCCTGCCAATATTCTGAAGAAATCCCTGTTTGCTCCCAAAACCTACTTACGTGATCTAAATCCTCTGAGCCTTACCAGAGAGAGTTTCCTTATCTTTAAAGTGAAAGTTAATGTAATGATTTCCTTGAGTTTTCCCCTCACTGACTGATCTAACCAAAAATCATTAGAATTTTCATTCTGCCAAAAAAGCGTTATACTTTTGTTGTAGAAATCCTGATGTCAAAAAATCAACTTTATAGATACAAGAAAGGAGGGATAGCATCGAGCTAAGAGTCCTTTCAACTTAAAAATAAAATACCAAGAGATACTATTTTTCATTTATGAGGATTTCAAAATGCAAAAATTTGACTAGACTGAAAGTAAATAAGAACTCTCATCTGCTGCTGATGGTGGCAGGCACCTGCAGTCCCAGCTACTTGGGAGGCTGAGGCAGGAGAATGGCGTGAACCCGGGAGATGGGGATTGCAGTGAGCCGAGATCGCACCACTTCACTCCAGCCTGGGCGAAAGAGTGAGACTCTGTCTCAAAAAACAAACAAACAAACAAACAAACAAACAACAAACTTCTGTGAAGAATTATTTGGCAATATCTAGCAAAGTTGCAGGTACCCAACAATCATACTTCTAAGAAAGGAATTCAAGTATTCAAAGGAATACTGACACAAATACTAATACAAGCTAATACATGTGCACAAGGTAATTTACTGGGATATTATTTAAATTAGCAACAGATTTGCACCCGAATATCCATGAATAGAGACTTGCACCCGAATATCCATGAATAGAGACAGCCCTTCCATGTATGAGGAAAGATTTCTAGGTATGATACAGAGTAATTATCAGAATATAATATTGACAAGACAAAAATGCAGAAAAGAATTAATACTACACATTACACTGTGCAAGAAAAAAGGAAGAATATAGAATGCACATGTGTAGCTTCTTATATTTGATTAAAAATTGCAGGCTCATGCCTGTAATCCCAGCACTTTGGGACACAGAGGCGGGTAGGTCACTTGAGTTCAGGAGTTCGAGATCAGCCTGGCCAGCATGGTGAAACCCCGTCTCTACTAAAAATACAAAATTAGCTGGGTGTGGTGGTGCACACCTGTAATCTCAGCTACTTGGGAATCTGAGACAGGGGAATCATTTGAACCCAGAAGACGGAGGCTGCAGTGATCTAAGATCTTGCCACCGCACTCCAGCCTGAGGAAGACAGAGCAAGACCCTCTCTCAAGAAAAAAAAAAAAAAGACAAAAATAATGGGAGGATAAGTTAAAATGAAAAAGAGTGGAACAAGTGCAGATAGGGACAGAAGTCAACCCTTAAAAAATAAATATTACTATGTTGTTTTGATTTGAAAAACATTACAAGTTTAAGTAATTAAAAATAAAATTAAGTCAAAAGTGAAAAAAAAAAGAAAACAAACTTTTATTCTGGAAACCCATTTTATTCAAAGCAAAAGCCAAAGGACTTGCAAGGAGCCACAGAACTCTGAATTACCTGACCTCATGCTAAATCTCCGACCTTGTCACCTTAACCTTTATGCCTTTCTCTGTTCCGACCTCCTTGCCCTTACAACAGCTGCTGCATGCTTTCCGTAGCATCTTTGCATAGGCTGTCTTTTGGCCTGGTGTTGGCTTCCTCAGATATCTGTTTTCTCCTTCACTCCTGTGCCACAGTTGGTTCTGTACAGAAATAGAGAAAGGGCTTGTTATAAGAATAAGGGCTAATATGAATATTGGAATATCTCAGGAAATAAAGATTAGGGAAATATTGAGGACAGGGCTAGGAAAGCTATAGCTTGAAGGTGAGCAGAACAGATAATGAAGACCTTAGCCCTAAACAGTGACGCAAATGCCCCCAGGAAACTGTATGTATAAGAATCCCTGAGAAAGCTCCCATCCCAAGTAGCAGGGAAGTTTGCACTGCAGTTTGTGACTGTTTAGGAGTTTCCATATCTTCTCTGTGTCCATTCACAACTGGAATTACGTAATAAAATGTTTTCTATTGAAACAAAAATGATGAATTTAAAAATCCAAAACAGAGTGGCTTAAACAAATGCAATGCATTATTTACCATGTGTCATAGGACAGTTTCTGCTCTGGGCCATGCTTGGCTAATCTTGTCTGCATCCACTCATGAGTTCATCCTCAGCTAATATGTTGCCTGGAAACAAGCTGGTATAAGATGTCCCCACCTGTGAAAACTGGTTTAGCGCCACATGACTTCTCATCTGCCAACAGGTTAGCATGAATCTGTGGTCAGGGCAAAGGAGGAAGAGTAAGACAGGAAGTTGAAATACACTACACCTCTCTCAAGCCTACATTTGTGTCAAGTCTGTTATCAAAGCATCAGCTAAAACAAGTTACATGACTGAGGCCAGAGGCAGAATACAGAAGTACTATACATTTATAGAAAAAGAGCATGATTACAGAGAGGCCTTTAACTGGGGCTGTTAATACAACTAATTGATCTACTGTGCCTGAAAAGTGAGCTAGAGCATCATTCCCAATTATGACATATTAAGTCTCTGATATTCTCACATGTTCATATAAAAAGCACTGGGTATATTCCTTTGGAAAGTATCTGAAAAGGAGCTATTATATTAACACGCTGTATTTTAGAACGGTTCAAGGAACCTGCTTCAAGGAAATTCAGTTCTCATTTCAATAAAAGAGATTTTTTTTAAAATCTATGATCGGACTTAATTTTGAAAAAATCTTAAGGAAAAACATTGTTCATTGTGACAGCTGTTATTAGTTTTTTTCTCACCAGCTCCATATTTTGTCTAAATACACAAATGGACGAATATTTTAAAATACTATGCTTTATATGTCCTGTACAATTATAGAATTATATACAATTATTAAACAACATCAGCTGCCCATCCGTCTAAACCCAAGAACATCACAATCCATAACCCATTACCATAGAAACCGGGTTAAAGTACCTCAGTTGCAGCCTAATCAAGTATTGTAACCCAATACCAGTGTTGCATCCACCTTGTTACTCTCATTCTGGAATAACAACATCCCTACTGTTATTAGGGAGCACAGACCTGTAGGTCCACTCCATTCATACAAGCCGAAGAGCACAGCCACTATTGAGCCTCTAAAAAAATACCAGTTTCCTCTACGCTAGTGCATTCCTTATTGCCCAAGCAATGAAACTGTCTTCTGTGACTTCCTAAAAATATAGACAGGTGGAGAGTTTTTATTTCTACATAATAAATTAATCATCATACTCCTACATACCTCAATTTTCTTCCTGTGCCTTCATTATTATGTGAAAGTATTTCTAGCTTATCTGTTGCATATAATGTCAGGCATCTTTCAATACAGACTTTAAAGAGCCATCTCAGAAAATTTATAAAAAAAGCTTCAGATATTACTGCTAAACATTCTCCTGGATGAAGGAGTTCATCTCTTTCCATGGAATGAGAACAACTAGGTGTCAATTAACCTATGATTTGCATGCATTTCTCTCCTAGGGAGGAAAACAAATTTTTAAAAAATAATTAATCCTTACTGTTGAACTACAACGCCAATTATAACAACAAGTTGTGATATTAATCTCAGAAGGCAGATTTGAGTGTTATTAACTGGAAAAGTTATTTTTCATCTAAAACTTTATAAAATCTGCTGCTAAATATGAGGCCCACAAGCTCAACATTTATTTTAAATAAATTCTTAATTGCCATTAAAAGCCAATACAGCAAAACTAAAGCAAATGTAGCAAATAATCAAAGTAGATATAGCCATTAATCAAATTGCTTTCCCAAAAGAGATCATTAAAATATTCCTCTACTCCCTATTCATTTATTGACTAATAGTTGAAAGAGTGATCTACCATTTCAAGGGAAATAGCTTTGTCCCCAAACACTAAACATCAAATAATCGCCTGTTACTGAATAATCATTATTTTGTTTTGCAATGTTTGTTTAACAAAAGTAACAACAGAAAGTTTCCAGAGGAACCACCAAAAAAAAAAAAAAAAATTACAAAGCTGTCTCACGTCTACATAATTTTAAATGTTACTGGCTTCACAAACATTGCTTTCAGGTGCAATGTGCTATTTGGAGGTTTGTTGTTGAACTGAAAGACAGCATTTTGAATATAGAAAGACACTGGGTCATAGAAAAAACAAAAAACTCAAACTGTGGGAAAGGCATCAAACTTATATGGCTTTTACTTCTATTCAGTTAATCATTTAACAGGAAATTATTGATGATCTGTTTATATTAGACACTACTAGAGGTAAGTAATTAAAATGGGCATAAAATAATTTAAGAATTAAAACTTGCTTAAAAAGAAGACTTTCAAGTTTAGGGTGTGTTACAGACATGTGTTAACAGTTGGTTGCAATATAGTGTGGCAAGTGCTATCGTAAAGCAATCAGTGGATCCAAAATAGTGAATATAAGAAGCACTAATTTTGGCCTGGAAGGTCAGGAAAGCCTCCAGGAGGAAATTATTCAACAGAAAAATTTAAAGTTAACCAGAAGAAAAATCAGGGATAGGTAATAATAGCAGAGGAAAAGTGTTCTGGGCACAGAAGGAAACTATATAAATATGTAGATTACATTTGAATAACTGCGATAGTTGATCATATCTGGAACATGAAGACCAAATGGAGAATGCTGCAAAAGATGAGCCTGGTCTGAGATGCAGGGCCTAGGTTTTCAAGAGCTATGTCAGCCATGTTTAAAACAAACAAACAAAAAAAAAAACTAGGACCTTATCTTAAGGGCAATGGAGAAGGCATTACGAGATTTAACCAGGAGAATATTGGAATAAAGTTTGTATCTGTAAAAAGTTTATTTAAGCTGCAATGTAAGGAAGAGAGAGAAATAGGAAAGACTGGGGGCAAGAATATGAGTCAGTTGCCAGTTACAATAAAGAAAACAAAAGTTGCATCAAGAGAGGAATGTAAGTTAACAGATTTGAAAAGTATGTCAGATATAAAATTGTTAGTAATTGGGGACAAATTAAATATTGGCATAAGGAACAGGAATGCATAGTAAAAGATAATTGGTCCCTGGTTTGAAACACTGGGTGAATAATGTCCCTATTCATTTAGAGAAAGTATATATTCCAGGTTTTGAATATTAGATTTAACACACAGAGATACCAATAGAGAAAATAAATCTGAAATAGAAATATATATGTGTGCGTAGCCAGAATATAGATGCTTACTGGAGACATAGGATTGGATAAAATCACTGAACAAGAAGATGTAAAGAAGAGAGCTTGGGGGCTTAGAACCTGAAGTACATGTCACCTGAAGCATATATAATGGAAGCAGAGCTTCCAACGTACAGAATCAAAGTAAACAATCAACCTAGAGACTGCTTTGTTTGGGAAACTTAAGGTATATTAACAGAGTCCAGTGCTAATACCCTGCCAAAGAAAAATAGGCTGGATTGGATTTGGAGATCGTGAAGTCAATAGTGAAGTTGGTGAGGAGATTTTTTGGTTTAATGGGAAAGGAAGGCAAATTACACTTGATTAAATTATGAATGTGATTGAAAAAGTAGAGGCCTACTCTAAGATGTTTGGCTGAGAAGTGCAAGTGACAGAAAAGAGAAGAGACTAACCAAGATAAAATTTCTAAGGAGATGACAAAGGTTATGGGAATGGGTGTTTTTTATATTTTATTTATTTTTTTACCTTCCTCGAAGATCTGCAAGGTACATGTAAAGCAACAAGAGACAATATAATTATAAAAAAGAATCAAGTTTACTTATCCCCTGCTCTGCTTAAGAAATGCAGGGATCAATTTAACTCCATCAGCTTTCAAGCATTCAGAGCCCAGTTTGGGTTTGAGAAAATGGTCTGTAGAATTTAGTTCTTCAAAACACTGCCCAAATGCTATACACATTGGACCACTTAGATATCTAAACATAGAAGTTAAATAAGGTTTTCCGTCAGCTAAAGTTTTTTCATACTCTGTAAAATTGTTCACTGGTGTGTACTCTTCCAAAAAGACAAAGCCAGGGTATTCAAAATCCTGCTATTCTTTAATATCAAAATGAAATGTCTATAAAGGAAAAAAAAGAGATAAGCAAAAGGAAGAAAATTTTGAAATCACTCCAACTTGGATGCCCAAGATGATAGTGTTAATATTTTGATTTTGAACTTTTATGTTATATTTTCCTCATTTAATTTTGTTAATTTGTGATATCCTTGTGAACTAATATATCTGTGTATAATTTCATAAAACAAACTTACAATTTAAGAAATAAATTTACATATATTGTCAATGTTACTCACATTCTTAGCATTGCAATGTGTTTTTATTTTTTGGTTTTTCCAGAAAAGTACAACATAGATTTTGCTGTTGTATTGACTACAGTATTTTACTTAAAATACTTTTTTCTTTTACAACTCTTCACTGAATTTTCTATCTTGGAATTTCTGCCTGAACCAAATTATTTTACCTGGAAAGCATAAGGAAAATTTATGTATAATTCAGAGTACTTATCAGAACTTTAATTTAATTAAACTTAATATAATACACTGGTAAGTCATGGCTATCTTCTCACATTTAATTGGTCATTTCTTATAGAGTCAAGATTATTCAGAAGGTATGCTCTGGAGTTCATTTTAGAAGAATCCTGTATCTATTACATGGCAAAAGGCAATCATTCATCAGTGACTGAGTTCATCCTCCTAGGGCTCACAGATAATCAGGAACTTCAAGTCATTCTCTTTGGTGTATTCCTACTGATTTACTTAGTTACTGTGTTGGGTAATCTTGGTTTGATTGTGCTAATCCATATCAGTCCTCAGCTTCACACACCTATGTATTTTTTCCTCAGCCATCTGGCTTTTGTGGATTTTTACGGTACCTCTGCTATCACTCCAAACACCCTTGTCAACTCTTTGCATGAAATTAAAAGCATGTCATTTTATGCATGTGCCACTCAAGTGTGCTGCTTCATTACACTTTCAGTCTGGGAATTATTGTTGCTCTCATGGCATATGATCGGTATGTTGCCATCTGCAACCCTTTACTCTATGTAGTTCTCATGCCTAGGAGACTCTGCATTCAAATGGTCACTGGCTTATATATTTATGGTTTCACCATGGGACTCATACAAGCAGTGGCCACATTCCACATGTCGTTTTGTGACTCTAATGTGGTCAACCAGTTCTACTGTGATGATGTTCCTCTGATTGCTCTGGCTTGTTCTGATACACAAGTCAAGGAATTGATGTTGTTCATCATTGCTGCGTTCAATGTTTTTTGTTCTCTTATCATTGTTCTCATCTCCTATGTATTCATCGTCTTTGCTATCTAAGGATCCACTCTGCCGTAGGAAGACAGAAAGCCTTTTCTACCTGTGCTTCTCACATGTTTTCTATTTCCATATATTATGGGACCCTCAGTTTTATGTACCTACAGCCTAAGTCAAGCCACTCACTAGATAAAGACAAATTTGCCTCAGTATTCTATGCAGTGGTGATTCCCATGCTAAACCCATTGATCTATAGCTTGAGGAATCAAGAGGTAAAAAAATGCTATGAAAAAAATTATTGAAAAAATGTGTTCTAGTAATCAACAGTAAAATTTGTTGGTACTAAAAGAAATACTACGTACAGAGTCAGGACATTTTGAATCAAGGTTTGTACAGTGCTAGTATATGTAGAAGCCTTTGTCCTTTGGAACTTATTTTCTTTGAAAATATGTCTTTTATTGCTTTGGCTTACAAATGATAGGCATTTTGTAAATGTTTCACTTTTGAACTGCAAAAGAGAGATAAGAATAATCTACTCTCTTTAACCATGAGATGCTTCAATACTAAATAGAAATAAAGAAGAAAGCACCTTGAAATTATGACTTTATCTTATTTCACTATGATATTGAGAACTTTAGGTCATCTTGAGAGACATGTGCTATTATTATTACTGCATATAATATTGCAAATACTAGGCAAGGTTTTCTTCCATAGTTGAACTGGGGGGAAAATGGTGAGATGCTTGGCTGAAAGATTTTGGTTTGAATATCCCTTACAAGTTAGATTATCCTTCATTTTACAATATCTCTATTGATTTGACTGAATATTTTTACCTGATCATTCAAGCATCATCCCTCCCATATTACCCTCACATTCAGCCAGCACATTTACTGAACTGATGCATTAGCTATTTGTCCGGGTGCTCTTCGTACCTTGCCCCCAACTCCATGACAAGCCCCAGTGTGTGATGTTCCCCTCTCTGTGTCCATGTGTTCTCGTTGTTCAACTCCCACCTATGAGTGAGAACATGAAGTGTTCGGTTTTCTGTTCCTTGTTACTTTGCTGAGGATGATGGCTTCCAGCTTCACCCATGTCCCTGCAAAGGACATGATCTCATTCCTTTTTAATGGCTACATAGTATACCGTGGTGTATATGTACCACATTTTTTTATCCATTCTACCATTGATGGGCATTTGGGTTGGTTCCATGTCTTTGCTATTGTAAATAGAGCTGCAGTAAATATACATGTGCATGTGCCTTTATAGTAGAATGATATATATTCCTTTGGGTATATACCCAGTAATGGGATTGCTGGGTCAAATGGTATTTCCGGTTCTAGATCCTTGAGGAATCGCCACACTGTCTTCCACAATGGTTGAGCTAATTTACATTCCCACCAACAGTGTAAAAGTGTTCCTATTTTTCCACAGCCTCACCAGCATCTGTTGTTTCTTGACTTTTTAATAATCACTATTCTGACTGGTGTGAGATGGTATCTCACTGTGGTTTTGACTTGCATTTCTCTAATAATCAGTGATGTGTAGCTCTTTTTCATATATATGTTGGCCACATACATGTCTTTTTTTGAGAAGTGTCTGTTTTTTTGAGAAGTGTCATTTGTTTTTAATCCATCTTGAGTTAATTTTTGTATAAGGAAGGGGTCCATATTCTATAAGCAAAATGATTGTCAGTGATGAGTACATGTTGAGACCATTCATTATATAGCATGATCACATCAAACTTTCGTTGCTATAAAATGTATTATTTTCTTCTGAAGCAATATTGTAAATTGTTGTTGAATATATGTATAGGCTCATTCCTGACATTGTTTGCTCTGCTCACAGTGCCATTGCATACATGTAAAAGCCCTGAGGTTGCAAGAGAGGAGAAAGGATGACTGCCATCTACAGGACAGGTTATCCAGTCTTCATTGTTACAAGCCTCCTCTGCTAGAGCTAATCTTTGGGAGTTAAAAATGAAACTAATGTCTTGTGCCCACTTCTACAAAATTATCTAAAATCTCCTTTCCAAGGATACCACGTTTTTTCAAATACGTTACTCCCAGTCCTCTAACCAACTGGCCAATATTATTTCTTACTGCTTATGAATCAGTATATATCCATTTCTTCAGGCCACCTTTTCTCCATATGAAGTGGAAGACCAAATATTCTACCCACTGGGACAGTTTGCTTTCACCGTCATCCTTCAAGGCCACCTCCTAGTGGGACTATAAAGTGGCACAACTTTATATCTGATTATTTTCTACATGATGTAGCAACCCTTATTTGTACTGGGCACAAATCTTACTTGGAAACTCCTCAGTTGGAACCTCTAGCCCATGAAATAATAGCACATATTGACAGAAAAGGGTCTATGCAGCAGGAATAGGTGATAAAAACCGTGAACTCGCTGTTTATATAATTTGTTAATGCCATCTCAACCTGATTTAACCAGGTTGTATATGAATAATTTCCATTTGCAATGGATTGCTGTTGTGGCTGCCCAAACTTATAAGTTGGTGAATCTTATAATATCAAGTACAGAATAGACAGCTGATGCTTAATGTTTACTTGGTGTCCCTTCATCTGGCACTTTGTTTCAGACAGAAAACTATTTCATGTATTCATCAGAATGTCTGGCTTTGCTTCAATGTCTGTGCTGTGATGCTGATTTGGACTTTCCAGAGACCAAGTATCATTATTTCCCAGCACAGATATCTCCAACATCATTGGATCACTTTCCAAATCTACTCTTCCTCTGGGACTGAGGCAAAAGAGGTAGTCTTCTGGAATACCCAGTAAATGGCTTACAGCTCTAGACCCCAGCATAGTATATTGTTTATGGTAACCCTAAATCATTCCAAAAAGTGCTACACTTATTTCTAAACTTGTGGCACAGCAATGTGTTTTCTAACTTGGAGGAGATGAGCAAAAACTACCATAGATAAAAGAAAAACTTCAGCCGAATTAAATTTAAAGGAGTTTAATTCAGCAATGAACAATTCCCAAGTCAGGCAGCCCCCCAGAATCACACCAGATTCACAGAGCCTCCAGGAGTGCCTCGTGGTCAGAATAAATTTATAGACAAAAAAGTTAAAGTGACAGTGAGTTGGAATTGGAAGTGAGGTACAGAAACAGTGAGATTGGTTACAGCTCAGCATTTGCCTTACTTAAACACAGTTTGAACATTCAGCAGTCTATGAGTGGTTGAAGTATGGGCCACTGGGATTGGCCAACACTCAGCTATTATTACGGGTGTGTACTATTAAGTTAGGTTTTCAATTTTGTCTGACAAGCTAGGTTACAATTCATCTACAAGGACACAAATATAGAAGTATGGAGTCCTTCTCAGGCCATATTTAGTTTATTTTTTTTTTAACAATTCCCCCTTTTTGTTCATTTCCTCAATTTTGAGAGATTGATTGAAACCTTAGTCATTGATGTTACTATCACTGTCATAAATGTACTTATACAGTTTTGAAACCCACTGGGAAACAGTGAGGTTTGTAAGGAGAGAATAAGGACTGAGTAGAGGGTACCTCCTTGTGCTGGAACATCTTATTTACAGGAGAAAAACAAAACCTGTTTTGTTCTAGGATCTAAGTGTTTTCTTGAAGCCTTAGTTTGATTATGTCACATTTAGCACAAGTGACTCCATTTTCATTTGGTTTGGTTTGCTAGGGCCTCGCCCATGAGCTTAGTCCAAAATAATGGCCTCCCATAATTTTGTTTAAAAAAAATTCCCCCTTTTTGCTCAGGTTCTCACTTAGATGAAAGTGTGACCAAAGCTTAGGGCCTTAGCACCACTCTCAGTTACCATCATTTTGGGTTTCTAGTCTCAGCATGTCACTCATAAGTTACGGTGTCCTCATGGTAGCACATTTCTTTCAGCTTTCGTCATTCTAGTTGAAGAGAAAGCACTTGACATTCTAGAGATGGCTGCATGCAAACATTTAAAGCCTTTGAGAAAAATACAGTGCATCAGGGAAACTATTACTATGAATATCTGGAGGATAACACCAAGAGTTTGGAGTTATCCTTACCCAGGGTCCCCGTAAAACAAAACAAATTAAATAGATTAAAGAATGAGCTAGGTGCAAAGTCTACTCACTTGACTAAGTGGTCTTTCATTAATCCCCTGCAACTGAATTTTTATATTTTACATTTGGTGTATTTCTCCATAGGCCACAAGTGTCAGCAGCTGCACATGTGCTTTTCTGTTTAGCCAATCTATTATTTAGCATAACTTTCACAGGACAATTTAAAGTTTGTTGTGTAACAATATCCTTTATAGTGTAATTTGCTGTTGAGCCTATTATGAGGGAGACATTTCTGATTATGGCCTTTTTTATTCTAAACCATGGAAAAAGAACTTAATAAATGATGTCCTTCTAGAAGAGTGAAGGCCTCCTGATAAAGTTCTCTTTAATTCATGATATGGGTTAAGAGGAGTTTTGACTGATTATGAGGCAACATATGCACCACTAAAGTTTCTCGCCTATATTGGGCCTTCATCTTTTATCTATTGAAGTATAAGTTTATTCATGTATAAGACTGGCTGGAAAATCCTTCACAAAGAAAAGTATACACTATAATTGCACATAATGGAACCCCTTTTCACTTCTATTGTTGTTCATAGAGACATAACAAGGAAAAAATATTCAAAGATAAGAGTCTTATGGTAGTTGAAGTTTTGATCCATGATCTTGGGAAAAGCTGTTCACATCAAGTATTCCATCTTCTTCTGGGGAGAAACTTCCCTGGTTAGTTTTACCTTAAGGGTTCCAATGGGTGTACAGTTCCAGGAGTGTGGAAGGAACCTTCTCAGTTGTGAGATTATAAACCCAAAATTCAAGGGGCCAAAGTTTTGCTGTAGTGTGGATGGCAAGGACAGTCTTCCTCAGATGTTCTCAGAAGATCCAATCTTCAGGCTCTAGACTGTGAAGGAACTGTCCTCAGTGAACCATAAAAAGCTTTATTTACTAGTGAAAATACACTGTAGCATAATAAACTACTGGTATAATAACATCAGCTCCCTTGCATGGAAAACCTTTAATAGAACCAGAAAACATGCATTAAAAATGACAATGGAATGAAATCCCTTTATAAATGTTTAAATGGTCCATCTGGTAGCCAATTGTATCTGAAGCTTTGATTGTCTTCCCAGGAATATGGAACCAAACATTGGTTTTAAACTATTTTTGCAATTTATAAGTCACCACATCAATATATTTAATTTAGATTATTTTGTCTTTCCCATGACGAGTTACGGAAGGTAGAACCTTTAACAACAAAAGCTTGAAGGGCTCAGGAAGGACAAGTAGGCCATCCTGGTTCTTCATGAATCCATGCTTAACAGTGGACTCATGTCCTCTTGAATACCAGTTGTTTCTCCAATTTAGGTGCATAGCACTGATAACTAATGGGTTATCATAATCTGACTTAGACCATGGAGTTCAATTACATTGTATATTTAAACAATTTTAGTATTGACTGATTTAGCATGATAATCTAGAGCTTGATTTTGAAAGGTTTGGTCAATACCAAAGGTTTAAAACATTGGATATTACAAAATAGAATCTTAGGTTACATAAGTCATTCATTTAGCCAAAATAATAACACAAAAATGTTTTAAAGGATGAAACATTATTCTGATACATAGGAGACTCAGCTTTCCAAACAAGACAATGAAGACAGCATGAGGACAACTGACCCTGTCTCCCTTCTTTCCTTCCCCCACCTTTTCTCTTTTGTAGTTTACTTAGAAGGTAAACAAAAACATTTCATTATCTTTTAATATTACATTTCTCTTTTAAAAGAGAAAACCAGATTTTATGTTTCCATTAGTGTATTTTTAATGTTTAAGTCAGTTTTTAATAACATTTTATAAATCTATTCAGTTTTAATTATTTTGGCCATAATGTAAGATTTTTATAAACCTTTTATAACCCCTTCACATTTTGTTTTCCTCAGAGCAGAGCAATGTTCTAAAAAAACTCTGTTGTGCTTCTATTCTAATGCTTAATTCATGGGAAAAAAAACTGAATAATGCCATTTTAACTTTAGCCAATATGTTCACACATAGAATCTCTTATAATTACTTTCCATAAACTTTTAACAACTTGTTCAAACCTTTAGCTTAATTTTTTAAAACAATATTTTAATTCTCTAATCTAGGCAGAAATTTACATTTTTAATTTTTTAATTTTATAATGTTTGAATTTTTGAGAAAAGCATTGCCTGTGGCAGGGTGGGAAAGACAAAATGTTCAGAGAGGCCAGAGAAAGACCCATCCATTTGCAGCGACAGTGAAATTGTGGCTGCTGTTGTGAAGGAATTTTTTTTCCAGAAGTCCCATTAGCTCTTAAGTTTCCCCTTTTGAGGGAGAAAAAAGCTCCCCATGTCCCAAGATCCTGCATGCTTAATCCTGTCACTCATAGCTGTCAGCAAAAAGTGCAAGGCAGATTATTCCAAAGAGAATAGCAGTTGACATCCCGTAGTGCCAAACCCGTTCTTAGCCAAAAAGGACTTTACTGAGGCCCTCATTTTTTTTGGTGGGGGCAGCTGGTGGAGGAGACAGAGTCTCTCTCTGTTGCCCTGGCTGGAGTCAGTGGCACGATCTCGGCTCACTGCAACCTCTGCCTCCCGGGTTCAAGCAATTCTCCTGCTTCAGCCTCTGGAGCAGCTGGGACTACAGGCGTGCACCACCACACCCAGCTAATTGTTGTATTGTTAGTAGAGATGGGGTTTTGGGTCCAAAATTGGTGGGTTCTTGGTCTCACTGACTTCAAGAATGAAGCCGCGGACCCTCGCGGTGAGTGTTACAGCTTTTAAGGTGGCGCCTCTGGAGTTTGTTCCTTCTGATGTTTGGATGTGTTCGGAGTTTCTTCCTTCTGGTGGGTTCGTGGTCTCGCTGGCTGAGGAGTGAAGCTGCAGACCTTTGCGGTGAGTGTTGCAGCTCATAAAAGCAGTGTGGACCCAAAAAGTGAGCAGTAGCAAGATTTATTGCAAAGAGTGAAAGAACAAAGTTTCCACAGTCTGGAAGGGGACCCCAGCGGGTAGCCACTGCTGGCTGGGACAGCCTGCTTTTATTCTCTTATCTGGCCCCACCCACATCCTGCTGATTGGTAGAGCCCAGTGGTCTGTTTTGACAGGGTACTGATTGGTGCGTTTACAATCCCTGAGCTACACATAAAGGTTCTCCAAGGCCCCACCAGAGTAGCTAGATACAGAGTGTCAATTGGTGCATTCACAAACCCTGAGCTACACACAGGGTGCTGATTGGTGTATTTATAATCCCTGAGCTAGACATAAATGTTCTCCAAGGCTCCACCAGAGTAGCTAGATACAGAGTGTCCATTGGTGCATTCACAAACCCTGAGCTAGACACAGGGTGCTGATTGGTGTGTTTACAAACCTTGAGCTAGATACAGAGTGCCAATTGGTGTATTTACAATCCCGAGCTAGACATAAAGGTTCTCCAAGGCCCCACCAGACTCAGCAGCCCAGGTGGCTTCACCCAGTGGATCCTGCACCGGGGCTGCAGGTGGAGCTGCCTGCCAGTCCTGCACCGTGTGCCCGCACTCCTCAGCCCTTGGGTGGTCGATGGGACTGGGTGCCGTGGAGCAGGGGGCGGCGCTCATCGGGGAGGCTGGGGCAGCACAGGAGCCCACGGAGGGGGTGGGAGGCTCAGGCATGGCGGGCTGCAGGTCCCGAGCCCTGCCCCGCAGGAAGGGAGCTAAGGCCCGCGAGAAATCGAAAGCAGAGCTAGTGGGCTGGCACTGCTTGGGGACCCAGTATACCCTCCGCAGCCGCTGGCCTGGGTGCTAAGCCCCTTATTGCCCAGGGCCAGCAGGGCCAGCCAGCTGCTCCGAGTGGGGGGCCCGCCAAGCCCACTCCCACCCAGAACTCCAGTTGGCCCCCAAGCCCAGCGTGCAGCCCTGGTTCCCGCTCGTGCCTCTCCCTCCACACATCCCTGCAAGCTGAGGGAGCCGGCTCCTGTCTTGGCCAACCCCGAAAGGGGCTACCACAGTGCAGTGGTGGGCTGAAGTGCTCCTCAAGTGCCGCCAATGTGGGAGCCCAGGCAGAGGAGGTGCCAAGAGCGAACGAGGGCTGTGAGGACTGCCAGCATGCTGTCACCTCCCAGTTTCACCATATTGGCCAGTCTGGTCTCAAACTCCTGACCTCGTGATCCACCCGCCTTGGACTCACAAAGCGCTGGGATTACAGGCTTGAGCCACCGCGTCCGGCGAGAGCCCTCATTTTTAAATGTACTTCAATGCATTGTTGTTCATTAGGAATGTTCCACTTTAAGTTATCTTTAGTAAGATTTTGCTGTTTCTCTAAGACTTCTCTGCCTCCCAGGCTTAAAATATAAGCCAAAAGTTTTAAGGTTATACTCAGTTTCTATAAATTTCAGAAAACCGAGAAATTTCTCAGTTTTCCAGAAATTAAGGATCTCATTTTTACCTAAAACATTGGCTTTACTCTCAGTTTCTCTTGATTAACTTAACCAACAATTTTTTCCCCAACTAAGCGCGCTAGAAAAGTGAAACAAAGGGGTAGAACACAAAAATCCCTGTGAATTTTCAAATCCAAATTTTATAACCCCTGCAATATTACTGCTTATTACCAGTTCCTTTCTGACCCAGTGAGATGTAAGAGGCCTGTAACTGGATCCAAGCCAGTTAATTCCCAGATCAAATCCGTTCTTAGACACAGTCCAGTTTCTGTTGCGACTCCAAACCCAGTTTGGATCAGACGTTTGCTGAAAGTAACTTGGAGAGCTCAAAACACAAATCCGTGGAGTTCCAAGACCCAAAAGGGAGCTTACCCATGATCCCCAGCGGCTCTGAGAGACAAGGGACACAAGTGGATCCTGCAGGTTCCTTGCTGTTCACTCAGCACTCCTGCGGGTCGCTAGAAGCTCCACTTTGGTTCCCGCTTCTGACGCCATCTGATAAAAGAAAAACTTCAACCAAATTAAATCTAAAGAAATTTAATTGAGCAATGAACGATTTGTGAATCTAGCAGCCCCCAGAATCCCAGCAGATTCACAGAGACTCCAAGGGTGCCTCGTGGTCAGAACAAATTTGTAGACAACAAAGGTAAAGTGATGTACAGGAATCGAAAGTGAGGTATAGAAACAGTGAGATTGGTTATAGCTCCGCATTTGCCTTATTTGAAGGCAGTTTTAAAACTCAGCAGTCTATGAGTGGTTGAAGTATGGCCGCTGGGATTGGTCAACCCTCAGCTATTGTTACAGATGCATACTATTAAGTTAGGTTTTCAATTTTGTGTGACTATTAAACTAGGTTACAGTTCATCCACAAGGACTCAAATATAGAAGTACGGAGTCCTTCTCAGGACATATTTAGTTTGCTTTAACACTGCTTACTTAACTTGAAGCAAATGCACCCGGGAAACCACTGGACTCTGAATTTTTGTGGCTTTTCTTCTCCTACCATTTGATTTATATGTGTTACTAAGGCATTTAGAGATCTTGCCACTCAGAGTTCAACATTTACAATTAGCAAGATTCTATCAAAATGGTAAAACATCATGGTGTTTTGTGAAATAAACATCAAGGTGATTAAAACCTCCATTTGCAAAATTTTGAAACGGAAGAGTTCATATATCTTTAAGGAAGTTTGCTATACAGTATCATATTTTTTTCAGAGAAACCAAGGCCAAGAAAATTATTTAATATACAGAATAAAACATCTCGTGTCAAACTCGGAAAAAAAATCATTCTAAGACTTATACTTTGGATAAATCATTTATAATTGCGAGATAAAAATAAAATTTAATAAATTCTGGTTATAAGAAAATAAGTTGGCTTATACCACTAAATATTGTGATTATAAAGCAGTTAAACTTTATTGATTCATATTAGCCAAGTTAAGTCATTATAGTAAGCCTGTGTGGTGGGAATTATCCCAATTTTGTAAATGAATCGTAAAGGAAATGAATGTCTTGCTTGCAAACAGGCATCTTATATAAAGCAAAATCAGGATTAGGAGCTAAATGTTTCTGAATTGAAAATTCTTTTTTACTCTTGGATATTAACAAATGATCCATGGTCTCATCTGTTTTTTTTATTTTTTTTAAGTGCCTTGAGGCAGATTCAGGATCATGGTTGTTGTAGATTATTGCCAAATGGTCCACAATGAACACAATGAATCCCTTTGTCCACATGAATACTTGCATACTCCACTTCCCTATGAACTCTGGCCTTGTAACTTGCGTTATATAATAGAAAGCGCAAAAGTATATTGTGCAACTTCTAAGGGTAGACCCTAAGGGTTTTGGAAGTGTCTGTATTTTCTTCATGGGAAGGTTTAATGTTAGAACCCAACTGCCATGTTGAAAGCCCAAGGCAGACCTATGGAGATGCTGCATGAATAAAAACAAAACATTCCAGCTGACAGCCTCACCAAAAGGCAGTCAGGTGACTGAGGTCATCTTAGAACTTACAGCTTTCTCACCGTCTCAGTTGCCACCACATGGAGAACAGTCTAGTTAGCACAATGGAATTCTAAGACATAACAAATCATTGCTCTAGGTCACTAAAGTCTGGACTAAATTTTTATTTAGCAATAGATGGCTGAACCAATAATGATGACATAAATAATTGTATTTTTAATTAAATTAACTTTAAGAAGAATTCCTAAAATTAGATATTGTGATTTTGACAGAAGTAAAAAAAATTTAAAAACTTTCTAAAATAGTTGAAGAACAGATTCTCAGAGGTTCTTACCCATGTATATGTAATTGTCTTTCAAGCTTCCTTGAGTTTCTTTCAAGACTCCAAGGAAAATGAGTAGTATAATCATCACAGATTAGTTAGACATAAAAATCCAGAAAAATATGGTGACTTCCACAAAATTTTTATTTAATATTTTTGTAGTTGCTTTCAATTCTGTTGGAGTCATATTATGAAAAATCAGAGCAATTATTCTAATAAAAAATTCACATTCAGTAAGACTAAATTTTTCTTCCTGTTTTTTTCTTTTGTAAAAATAAGTGATTTCCTATGATATTTTTTATCTATATGTCTTTCAATTTATCATTCTACATCCCTACGGGTGTGTGGAATGCAGATGAACAGAGTGTGTTAAGGGCTTGAAGAGATGAAGTATTAATTTCTTTGTTATCTTCGTGATTTTAAATGTTTTCCAAAAGACCTTAGGAAGCACAACGAAATTTCAAAGTTTTGAACACTTTGAACAGAACGTTCAGACAATAATGTTCAGAGATTGAACTAAATATACCTCCAGGACAATAAGGAATTTATGGATTGATTATTATTTGCTTACTGCTCAACAGGTTATTGAGTTTCAGATATAAGGGTGCATCTTTGGTACAATCCAAATCATTACTTTGTAGGCTTGTAAAGCTCAACTGCAAGATAACTAACTTTGATTGAGTGTATACCAGGACTACTTACTAAAATTTATAAATGTCATAAAGTCTAAAACAAAGTATAAAAAATAAATCAAAACATTTTGACTTGTTTCCCATATGTTAAAATAACCTTTGCTATCCATTATTAATTCTTTATTATACTTTAGTTCAGGATAGTAACCTGCCCTTTAAGTGGTTATTTTTTGCCTTTTAAACAAATTGGGTCCCAAAAGATCAACCATAACATAATTGCTCATGCTTGTGAAACATCATTGTGTCTTTGGTTCAGAATTGTTAAAAATGATGTAATTCAATGAGAATATTCTAGAGGAACCAACAGATTATACAAAATATATTCACAACACTTAAGTAATGTTAAGTATTGTTGACCTTCACAGAATTTGCCTAAGGATACATTGGAATCTTTTTGGTTGTTGTGCATTACTCAAAAGCAAGATGTAGTGGGAAAGAAATCAAGGTAATTGAGGTAGAAAAATGGGGTTTCAGGTAACACAAACTTTGTATTCATTTGTTCGTTTATTCTACTATTATTTAAAGTGTCTAGTAATTGCTGAGTCCTGCTAAGTATTGGGGAAAATATAAATCTTTGCTTATCGAGAATTAAACAATTTAAAGTAGCTTACAAACAAATTAAGAGGTGACTAGATTGTTGGAGGTAATAATCGGGAGATAATAAAACACCTCTAGAATGAAGTAAAATTTCACCTCAGATTTGACAAGTGGAAAGATAGTAGCCAGCCAGAGGAACAAAGATATAAAGGAAGGAGTATTCTGGCCAAACTATGTTCAAAGTCCATGGTCACATCTGAGAAACTGATGGTATGCAACATGGTTGGTGCATGGGGATTGCATAAAGGAAATTGCAAGAAAGGAGACTAGTTTACAAAGAAGGGTTTATTTAGGAAAGCTTTAATAAACCAGGTTAAGAAGTTTGGGCTGTAGTCCAAAGCTAATGGGAAACAGAAAGCTAAGATTTGCATGTTAGAACGTACCCTCAAGGTGCCACATGGATATAGGGTGGCAAAACTGCCTGGAAGATAACAGTTAGAGGGTAACAATCCCCAGCAGTTATTTGAGGCTCTAATAAGGAAAATATGGAGGATATTAGAAGTAGACAGACTTCAAAATCTAGATTAAATCAGTAGCATTCACTTATGGTTTATTAGTGGACATTAGAGGGACATATGAATTTTTGTTTTTGTTTTTGTTTTTAAACTGCATGGCAGATGGCACCATTTAGTGAGTTATAAAATATATACTCAGAGGCATGTGAGTGGGGTTGGGTGGCTTTTGAACTGATGAATCCTCCTTGAACATGTTAAATTTAGGTACATCTGGAATATGTAATAGAATCTGTCTGAAAAGCAAGTAGATATGTGTACAAAGGGTTCAAAGGAGAAATGTGACCTGGAGATCTAGACATCTGCATCGCCAGCACATCAATAGCAATGATACCCATAGCATCGGATGATAGCTTCCAACAAGAATATGCAAAAAAGACATGGTTTGGCTTAGGAAATAACTGTAAAGTAATAGGGTTATTTAAATCATAAACAAAGAAGTACAGCCATCAAGGGAAGTACAAAGTAGACACAAAGATGGGAAAACCAAGAGACTCTGATGGCTTGGAAAGCAACAAAATAATGGTTTTCATGATGAAAGGTGATACTAGTGGTGTCTGATGCTACAGAGAAGTGAAATTTTTAAATCTTCATTGGATTTGGGAGAAAAGAGAATGTTGGTGAATTTGGAGAGAGTAATTGCATTGCAATGCTAAGAAAAAAATATCTAAATACAAGAGATTGATGTACAAACGTGAAGGATGCAGTGAGCATTGGTAACTTTTTCTGGTACTAAAAGAATGAAGATAAGAATAAAGGTAAAGGAATAAAGGTGGAGGAGTAGTAGATTGATGGGAGAGATTTAATAGATTAGCAGAGGAAGGAGACGTGGAAGGCCAAAGAGAATGGAACCAAAATATAAATTTAGGTATAAGAAATAGGAGACCTCCCCAATCCCCCACCCCCACAAAAACATGTAATACGAATAGATGTGGAAGCAGGTAGTTTCACACAACTGGTGACAAGAAGTAGAGAAATTTATATTTTAGTATTTTAATTCCCATTTTAAATATCAAAAAGTTTAGCATCTGCTTAGCATATGTGGTAGGAGTAGTACTGCTTAGCATGTGTGGTAGGAGTAGCATGGATAGAATTGAAAGGGTTGAAATAGCAACATGCAGATTGGGAGAAAGCCCTTGGTTAAGGAAAAGTCAGTCAAGTAAATAAGTAGCTGATTTTGAATATAAGTTTGTAATAGTTCACTTTTTCTTAACTGTTGTTCTTGATAGCTCAGATTTCATTGTGAAGACAACATTACAAAATACCCAGATTTGGGTATACCTAAAAAAATGTTGGTTGTTGGGAAGCGTAGTTGAAGCAATACGTCATGGAGACTAAGCTGTATAGGAGAAGAATTGAAAAAATAAAGTGACAAAATAAATGAGTATTTTAAGATGTTTAAGGAATAGTGATATGTGTGAATAAGTGAAGACCTGTAGTCATAACTGAGGTGAAAAGGGGAGGGTAGAAGTTTGTGATCATAAGAAAATGTTTAAGTTTTGGATATCTAGCATTTGGTAAACTTGTAGACAAATAATTTTAAACATGGAACCATGGGGGTGGAAAGCTGAAGTGGAATGGTGCTGGGGTCACTGATAAAAATAATCAATAATCAGAAAAGCCGTATGTTAAATGTGTCAAGTTCATGGGAACTAATGACAACTTTGTGACAGGACAGTGATCTTGGTGTCAACATTCTCAATAAATAACAAGGACTGACCTGGAAATACATAAGTGACTGTTAACATTTGTCTCTGTGTCGCCACCCAAATCTCATCTTGAATTGTAATCCTCATAATCCCCACGTGTCAAGGGAGGAACCTAGTGGGAGGTAATTGAATCATGGGTTGAATGAATCATGGGTTGAATGATGATTCAATCCACGATGGTTTCCCCAATGTGGTTCACATGATAGTAAGTGAGTTTTCATGAAATCTGATAGTTTCCTAAGTGTTTGACAGTTTCTCCTTTGCATACACCCTCTCTCCTGCCACCTTGTTAAGATACCTACTTCCACTTCTGCCATGATTGCAAGTTTCCTGAGGCCTCTCAGCCATGCAGAACTGTGAATCAATTAAATCACCTTGGTTTATAAATTACCCAGTCTCGAGTAGTATCTTTATAGCAGTAAGAACAGACTAATACAGTAAATTGATGCCAGGAGTGGGTTACTACTGTAAAGATACTCGAAGAATGTGGAAGCGACATTGGAACTGGGTAATGGCCAGAGGTTGGAACAGTTTGGAGAGCTCAGAAGAAGGAAGAAAGATATGGAAAAGTTTGGAGCTTCCACTTGTTGAATGTTTTTGACCAAAATGCTGATAGTTATGTGAACAATGAAGTCCAGGATGAATTGGTCTCAGATGGAGATGAGGAATTTATTGGGAACTAGAGTAAAGGTCACTCATGCTATGCTTTAACAAAGAAACTGGTGGCATTTTTTTTTCCCTGCCCTGGAGATCTGTGGAACCTCAGACTTGAGAGGTGATTTAGGGTATCTGGCAGAAGAAATTTCTAAGCAGCAAAACATTCAAGACAAGACCTGGATTATTATGAAACCATTCAGTTTTATGCATTTACAAAGATATGGTTTCAAATTGGAACTTTTATTCAAAAGGGAAGCAGAGCACACAAGCTGAGAAAATCTGCAGCCTGATGATATGGTAGAATAGAAAAACCCATTTTCTGGGCAGGAATTCAAACTGGCTGCAGAAATTTGCATAAATAATGAGGAGCCTAATGTTAATCATAAAGACAACGGGAGAAATGTCTCCAGGCCATGTCAGAGACCTTCACAGAAATTCCTCCCATCACAGACTCAGAGTCCTAAGAGAGAAAAATGGTTTTGTGGGCCAGACCCAGGGCCCCACTGTGCTCGGTGCAGCCTTGAGACTTGGTACCTTATGTCCCAGCCATGGCTAAAAGGGGCCAACATACAGATTAGGCCATTGCTTCAGAAGCTGCAAGCCCCAAGCCTTGGCAGCTTCCAAGTGGTGTTGGGCCTATGGGTGAGCAGAAGTCAAGAATTCAGGTTTGGGAGCCTCCAATTAGATTTCAGAGGAGGTATGGAAATGCCTGGCTGTCCAAGCAAAAGTTTGCTGTTGGGGGTGTAGCCCTCATGGAGAACCTCTGCTAGGGCAGTGTGAAAGGAAAGTGTGGGTAGGAGCTCCCACACAGAGTCCCCACTGGAGCACTGCATAATGGAGCCCAGAGAAGAGGGCCATCATCCTCCAGACACCAGAATGGCAGATCTACTGACAGCTTGCACCATGCACCTAGAAAAGCTTCAGACACCCAACAGCAGCCCATGAAAGCAGCTGCGAGGGGGGCTGTACCCTGCAAAGCCACAGGGGTGGAGCTGCCCAAGACCATGGGAACCCACCTCTTGCATCAGCATGACATGGGTGTAAAACATGGAGCCAAAGATGTTAATTTGGAGCCTTAAGATTTAATGACTGCCTGCTGGATTTTGAGCTTGCATGGGGCCTGCAGCCCCTTTGTTTTGGTCAATTTTTCCCATTTGGAAAGTGTTTACCCAATGCCTGTACCCTCATTGTATCTTGAAAGAAACTAACTTGTTTTTGATTTTCCAGGCTCATAGGCAGAAGGGACTTTCTTTGTCTCAGATGATACTTGGACTGTACGATATTGAGTTAATGCTAAAATGAGTTACGACTTTGGGGGACTACTGGGAAATCATGATTGGTTTTGCAATGTGAAAGTACATGAGATTTGGGAGGGGTCGGGGCAGAATTATATGGTTTGAGTCTGTGTCCCCACCCAAATCTCATCTCATATTGTAATACACATAATCCCCACATGTCAAGGGAGGGACCTAGTGGGAGTTTATCGGACCATGGGTGTGGTTTCCCCCATACTGTTTTCATGATAGTGAGTTAGTTCTCGCAAGATCTTATGGTTTCATAAGTGTTTGACAGCTCCTCCTTTGCATGTACATTCTCTCCTGCTGCCTTGTAAAGAAAGTGCCTGCTTCCTCTTCCACCATCATTGTAAATTACCCAGTCTTGAGTAGTATCTTTACAGCAATGTGAGAATGGACTAATACAGTGACAAAGCATATAAGTGTGTAAGCTTCAAAGCATCAAGGGAGTTGACACAAATGCAAGATATAATTATCAATATGCAGCAATTTTCCAAGCATCAGCAATGCCTTATCCCACCTGCCATATTTGAAATGTGTGGAGAATTTTAAATTGAGCATAGAAATGTCCTGAGGAAAAACAGATTTTCAAGGAGTAGCCAAGTTCTGTTTTAAGAAATGAGAAATCAAATGATTCAAGATGTTGGAGAGTCTGGTAATATCAGAGCAAAAGGCACACAGGTTTCAATTCAGCACAGCAATGTAAGCACTGAAAAGAGTAAGAGCCAGGAGAGGTAAGGATTAGAGATTACAATTTAGACAGGCAATGGAAGAACACTTCAAAATATTCCAAAAAAGATTAAGCTCCTACAATCATCAATATGAAGAGATTACTCACAGGCTTCTGCAGAGTAAGCCTCAATCTAAATAATATTAACGCTATCAAGAGCTAAAATTGATTTATTTGGCAAACAGTATGAGATAGTCACTACCTGAAGCACTTGGCATGGACGAATTCATTGATTGCTTTATCAAAGTTGCCTTGATCTCTTGTTGATGCAGAAATTTTTGCCTTTCTGATAATTTGCATCAACTATGGATTGAGGTTAGGGAGTCACAGACTAGGTAATGAGTTATTCTGCTTCACCTTATGCCAGTCATGAAGCATGAAGAGGGCTTAAGTTCTCAGCTTCAGTTTCTATATGTGAAAATAAAGATGATAGTCATAGGGCCATTATATAGGCTAGATGTAAAGATAATCTAAGCTAGAATAATAACAAAAAATTAAATTTATATCACTTCTGTTCAAGTGAAGATCATTAAATGCTGGCTACTTTTAATTAGCCAGGAACCAGGTTGTACTTTTACACACTCATTCTAGAATTGTTTACTTCTCCTGCTTTGCATCTGGATGTTTTAAGAAACATGACAAATGTGTTTTTTGGATCACTTAATGCATTTATAATGCTGTTATGAATATTTTTAAAAGCAAGTCTATTCACATTTTTAAGCATTTTTCTATCTTTAATTCACAAATAGTACATAGCAATTGAAGAAAAACTAAGAATTATTGATAGATAAAAGAAAAAGTAAAAATAAAAAAATAATTCTGAATGTATTATAAAGAGATTATTTGTACCCATAATTTTTTAGGAACTTTCGTATACCTACTGTGCAATATTTTTTTAAACTTATTATTTCGTGTGAATTAAAATTTTCCAGAAGAATTAGTACAATTTTATTTAAAGTGATCTAATTTTAAAAAATATTTTTTAATAGGGACAAGGTCTCATTACGTTGCCTTGGTTGTTCTTGAACTCCTGGGATCAAGTGATTCTCCTGCCTTGGCCTCTCAGAGTGTTGGGATACAGGTAGGTGTTAGCCACCATGTCCAGCCCCAGTAATTTTAAAATGCTTTTTGTTATCTGTGTTCAAATAACTCTCTATCTTGATTTTCTCTTATTAAAAGAAAGACATGACATAGATCATTCAATTATGTAAACCTTTAACATGTCATCTTTCTATCTTTACAAATCTCCACAGAAATGCATGTTTTGGAATTTCTACTTGGGACAAATTATTTTATTCAGAAAGCAGAACTAGCCTGAAGATGCTCCTTTCAATGTGTTCAACATAAGATCAGGGCGGGTCAGAATCATTTCCTAACATCTGCTTCATTATTTCCATTGGGAACACCATTACTCAGAATGTGTGCTCTAAAGGGTTTTCTGGAAGAAAACTTTTATACCTACTCAGTGGCCAAAGGCAATCATTCAACAGTGTATGAATTTATCCTCTTGGGGCTCACAGATAATGCAGAGCTTCAAGTCACTCTCTTTGGTATATTCCTTGTAGTATACTTAGCTAGCTTTATGGGTAATTTCGGTTTGATTATGCTAATTCAAATCAGTCCTCAGCTTCATACACCCATGTATTTTTTCCTCAGCCATCTGGCTTTTGTTGATTTTTCTTTTACTTCATCTGTTGCCCCAAATACCTTGGTAAATTTTCTGTGTGAAGTTAAAAGTATAACATTTTATGCATGTGCCATTCAGGTATGCTGCTTCATCACATTTGTAGTTTGTGAATTATATTTGCTCTCAATCATGGCATATGATCGGTATGTTGCCATCTGTAACCCTTTACTTTATGTCATTCTCATTCCTAGAAAACTGTATTAAACTGATTGCTAGCACGTATGTGTATGGATTCACTGTGGGACTTGTACAGACAGTGGCGACATCCTACTTGTCTTTTTGTGATTCCAACGTGATCAACCACTTCTACCATGATGATGTTCCATTAGTGGCTCTGGCCTGTTCTGACACTCATGTCAAAGAGCTGATGTTGTTAATCATTGCTGGGTTCAATACTCTCTGCTCTCTAGTAATTGTGCTGATTTCTTATGGTTTCATTTTCTTTGCCATCCTGAGGATACATTCTGCTGAAGGGAGACAGAAAGCATTTTCTACCAGTGCTTCCCATCTGACCTCCATCACAATATTTTATGGAACAATCATTTTTATGTACCCGCAGCCCAAGTCAAGCCATTCCCTGAATATGGATAAAGTTGCTTCTGTGTTTAATGTGGTAGTGATTCCTACATTAAACCCACTGATCTATAGTTTAAGAAATCAGGAGGTAAAAAATGCACTAAAGAGAATTATAGAAAAGTTATGTTTGGCTGTCAAATAACCTAAAAATCCCTAGACAGAGGCAAAACCCAGGACTTTGAGTTGTGTCTTATCTAGAGTCACATTGGTGGTAAATGACAGAGCCAAATTCCGTAGTTTGGCTACTCAACATCACTCAGGGTATGTTTCATCCACTGTGTCGTTTTCCATAGTTTCCACATAAAATGCATTTGGTAAATTTTATGTCATTGAATTGTAAAAGAAAAGGAAAGAGAGAGAGAGAGAGAGAGAGAGAGAGAATCTTACTCCTCTCTGAACAACACAGCTTCATCAATAATGAAATAAACAGCATGGGAAATAGCTGTTTTATTTAAATCATGTGTGATATTTGAATTATATTAAAGTTCAACATCTGTTATCTTACATTTCAAATTTGCTGCACAGATTATCTGGAAACAGTGTCAAAGTTTAAATAGCAAGGATACTTTTCTTGGTTTTAAGACTGGATAATTTCCTTAGCACTCTACTTTCTCTGCATTCTACTGGGAAGGGTAGCACCAGCAGAGTTACCATGAATTCCGTATCCATTTGGACCACTAGAGCCATTTCACACCATTATAATTCACTGCCTGCTCTATATAAGCATCTGATTAGTAACTGGACTCTTCAAATCTTCAAACAGTTTGACTAATAATTTTAGTTTCTGTGATAATCAACTGTTGTCATTGGTAAATTATTTCACATTTTGTACCTAGTTTCCTCATCTTCAAAATGCGCTTGTAGTTTCTTATCTCTTGGACTGATTGTGAAGATTAAATAACATTATAAATATAGAGCTTTGCAAAGTTCCTAGCACACAGCTGGTACTTCACATATGGTGTGTATTACACTTAATTATTGACATTGTTATTATACCAATTATTTCTCTTATTTGGCCTTGGATAGTAAGGTAATAAAGTTTGAGATAGCTGGCAATATGATATTCTTTATTTTAAAATCAACAAAAAGAAAATATAAAAGTTAAGGAGCTATTTTATTGTGGTGTTTTAAAATAAATTCTTTTAAATTTCATCGTGTGTGTGTATTGATAGACATATTTTAAAATAACTCTTTTAGGTTCCTTCATACTCGTTACTTAAAATATGCATTTTTAAAAAATAAAACCACTTTTGTTTAATTTAACAAAGACTAGATTAATAAATTACGAATTTATTGAACTCCTAATTTTTCAAAGTATGAATGAGCTACCGTCTACTGAGTGCTTTTCTTGTATCAAATTCTGGGTGAAGTGTTTAAAATGGATTGCCTCAGCTAATTTTTATAACATTGAATGGAGATGAGTATTTATTCAAGGTGGACCACTAATCAGTTGTAGATACAAAAATAAATTATATAAAAATTTTATTTACAAGAAAGTGTATTAAGGGTCGTTCACCAATAATAATAAAGCTGATACTTACCAAGGCTCTTTTAGGTGACAGCCATCATGCCAAGGCCTTCACACATGTTTCTACTACATACTCATACTGTAGCTTGTGGAATAAGCATGTTTCTTGTTTTATAAGGTATTTGAGCTTTACATATTATACACTAGAAGTATCAAAACTCAAATCTGTGGTCAAATCTTTCTGGAATCAAGCATGTTCTCCACTGATCTTAGACACCGCTAAAGACCTATATTATTTGTCAGCCTCTGTATTTATTCTATACCTAGATACAGAAACATCATAGAGATCACAAACAGAAGGGTGACAAATACAAGTATTTATTTAAATATGCCTGGAGACTGAATAGTGTTTATTTCAATGTTTTGTCTGAAGGACTGGTGTTTTAGGAGATGAACTCAGTGACCTGGAGCAATTTTCAGATGATAGTTTTAGAGGCTGCACAGAACTGCGTGTATCTGCGCAAGAATAAACATTTAAAAAAAAAAGTCTATTGAGTAAAGTTGAATTTCTTAGCTCATTTCCCTTAGAAAACCTAGGTTTATCTCAATATGTGATTGTTAATAGTAGGGAATTATAACTCTGTAAAGACATGAAGAATTCAATTAATGTTTAAACATTGCTACTGTAAATAATTCTATCAAGTAGGCAGGTGCAGTGAAACCACAGAAGACCAATCTCCTCCAGGTGAATTTTCAGGATCCGTAGACCTGAATCTCACTACCTGTAAAAAGAGAGACTGTCTATGACTCTTGTCGTGGCTCTGATATGTGAGAATATTGTGTATATCCATCCACAGAAATATACACTCACAAGACAAAGTGTGGAGAGTAGAAAAACCAGGTTTCTCTGTTAAACCTGTTTTAAAGGCCAGGTAATTCACTCCACTCACAAGGTTCTAAAAGCACCTCAGGGTAGCATATCTGAGTCATTTACAAAGAAAGTACAGAAGAGGAAATAATCACAGTATATTGTAAAGCTCAAATTGTATTTTATATAATGGCTGCAAGTATCATAATCTCCTTGTAAAATTGAAAAAAAATAATAATTTTAAACCACTACTTTTTCTGAAATGTCAAAACAATAAAAATGTATCATATCACTTTTTTTAATCATATGTCATCATCTACAAGGGTGACTGAATAAATAGCAGGCACAAATAAATTACATAATAACATAGGGTACTTTCTAATTGAACAAATATGCAAGTACAATGAAGGTGTTTATTTTAAAAATTATTTCTTATAAAACATGTTCTTCCAATTATATTTTTTAAAAAATCTGATAATGACACATTTAAATCCAATTAACCTCATTCTTAACACCCACAGTGTTAACAAAAAATTCAGATAAACCTAAATTTGCTTTTAGAATTTTCATATTGCTAGTTATGTGACCTTCAATTTAGAGAGAAAACTTCACACACATCATATGTTTACTTGATTGTAGCAAGTAGGACTACTTGACTAATTAGCCTTGAAGACCTTAATGAATTTATTTTTTAATAGTTTTATGTTTTGGTTTGTTTGTTTGTTTGTTTTTAGAGAGAGAGAGAGAAGGTCTCGCTATGTTGCCCAGGCTGGTCTTGAACTCCTGGGCTTAAGCAATCCTCCCACCCTTGACTCCTAAAGTGCTGGTACTACAGGTGTGAGCCACTGTGCCAGGCCAAATAAATTCATTTCTAACTTTATATAACAAACATTTATATACCTAAGGCTTCCAAAACACTTATTATCACTGGATATTTTTCTAAGCATTTCATAAATATTAACCTGTACAATCCTTAAAAAAAGAGCAATGAGTTAGGTCCTATTATTTCCCAGACTTGGAGACAAAGCCACACAAAATTTAGCTCAATTTTCCAAGGTTGCAGAGCTAATATGAAGGAAATAGTGTTCAAACTCAATCTTGTTTCAGCATCCCAAACTCTAACAAAAACATGCTGCTGCCTTTGCTTTAAATACACCTATGAGTGTTTGCATATATGAGTGTGTCTCTGTTTGTATTTGAACGTGGTTTCAGTGGTCTGCCAAGACTGTGATGGCCTGAATTGAATGCTTTAATTCGTACTGATTTTTCATGATCTGCCTGGTTCTTGCAGAAAATGTCAAGGTCCATTAAAGTAACAGCTACATTTTCAGTTCATTGGGAAATAATTACAAGAAAAAGTTTGATTTATTTCCTGCTTGTTTAATAAAGTTTTCTTATTTTTAAAAATGTTAATATCTGTAAGTTTTCACAACCTTTATCCAAGGCTTTCTTTGAGGCATCTTTCACTTCTTTGTTCCTTAGACTATAGATTAGGGGGTTTAACATGGGGATCACCACTGTGTAAAATACAGAAGCCATCTTGTCTGTGTCCAAGGAGTGATTTGATTTGGGCTGTAGGTACATAAAGATCAGTGTGCCATAGAAAATAGTGACAGTCACCATATGGGAGCCACAGGTGGAAATGGCTTTGTGTTGCCCCTGAGTAGAGCGGATCCTTAGGATAGCGGCAATAATAAAGATGTAGGAGGTGAGGACAATGGAAGAGGAAGAGATCATATCAAAGCCAGCAAAGGCAAATATCAGAATTTCCTTCATGTGTGTGTCTGAGCAGGACAGAGCTAAGAAGGGGAGGTCATCACAATAGAAATGGTTAATTAAGTTTGGGCCACAGTAAGTCAGACGGAAAGTGATAACGGTGTGGAAGAGGGCAACCAGGAAGCTGTATATATATGGAACTGCCACCAGTTGAATGCAGACTCTTCTTGACATCAGTGTTGAATAATGCAGGGGACTACAGATGGCGACATAGCAATCGTAGGCCATGGAGGCTAGAAGGAAACACTCAGTGATCATGAAGGTGAGAAAACAACCCAGTTGGGTTGCACAAGCATGGAAAGGAATGGTGTTGCGTTCCACAACAAAATTCACCATCATCTTCGGTGTAATAGCAGAGGAGTAACAAAGGTCAACAAAGGCCAGGTGGCTGAGGAAATAGTACATAGGTGTGTGGAGTCGAGTATCAATCTTGATTAAAGTAATCAACCCAAGATTGCCCAGCACTGTGACCAGATAGATAACTAAAAACACCCCAAAGCACGGGGCCTGAAGCTCTGGCCGGTTGGTAATTCCTTTCAGAATGAATACAGTGACATAAATGATATTAACTTCAGCCATTTATCCTAACAGGTTTTGTAGATTTTGTCGCAGTTGAAAAATAAAAAAGATACTTCTCATGTTCCCTGTCAGTGTTGGGTAAAGGTGATGATTGTTGTCTTCTTGCCTTGAATCATATCATCATGTGGGCAAAAACATACATCTTACCTCTCTAATGACAGAGGCCAATCTTGCCTGAGGGAGGGGAGTCTTTTACTTGCAGAATAGTAAATAGACCACCTTAAGAAATATTTTGCTTTGTAATTTTAGAAAATAAGAGAAGATGTTGGTTAAAATTATATAGTATGAAACCGCTTGTGACAACTGACACTAATATTTCAATGTTTTTGCTGCCATTAAAAATCTTATATATTTTCCATGCATATATAACAGAACAAAAATATTGAATTTATAGACGTGACCACATTTATATTTCCTTATTTTTCGGTTTTGTGCGTGCTTCCATAAAATATGTCAAAAATAGATCAAAATAATTTTAGAGCTCCTATGAACTATTCAATTTGCTATATTCCTTCCCACATTTATATAGAATAAGTAATTTATGCTGTAGAAATGGAAAGAAATTTGATCAGAAATATGAGAAAGGAAACATTCAGTTGTAAAAAGTTTTATGGAAACATATACTGGTGGGTGGAGTTTTTGATGCATCTTTTAGGATAATTATAATTATTTGTATTTCTACCAGCCCTGAAAAAAAGAGGATTCATCTTGTTAAGCCCAATATTAGCCTATTTAAACTTTAATTTGGTCCTGGCTTTATTTTTCAAAAAATAGAATCATGAAATATTAACTAGAAAATGCTTTGAGAGATCATCATATCTAACCACTTTGTCTTTCATATTCCATTGATTAGTACTATTATTATTTTATCTATTGCAATTGAGTGATGTCCTTATCAGATATTCTGAGTGCATTACATGAATTAAGATAGTCTCTTGCTTACCCTATGAGGAAGGCTCTCACCCATAACTCCTTATAAACATTGGAAAAATCCGACTTTCTGGTGATGGTCACAGAGTATTAGTGTGACTATGTATAACTGACAGCAGAGCCCATATTTCTAATCATCCTTATGCTGCCCAAGTGTAGTGGTTTGTTCCTTAAGCTTTAATCGCCGGGATGGATGGAAGAACGAGGCTAAAGTGTCAAACTAAATGTTTAAAGCTTACAGAAGACAAACATGAAAACTGTAGTTTTCCAAAGATTGCTAAGTTTTCATATACTAGGTCAAAGTAAAATAGAAGACTCCTAAAACATATATATATATATATATATATATATATATATATATATACACACACACACACACACACACACAGATGCATAGACATATACATATATACATATATATTGCTATTCTCAGTAAATAACTGTTTCGTTCATGAATATTCAAAAGTGAGAATTATCTGACTTACATATGGGACTTGAATATGCTCAATTTTTTTTCACAAAGGATTTTATGTCAATTCGAGCTGTGAAGTTATAATTTGAACCCTAATTGAGGATAATTATAAGGCTATCCCACAATGTAAAAGTAAATAGACCACCTTCACTGAAAAATAGTGTCAGGGAAAGAGGTTTATCTACCATTTATTTCACTTTATTTTTTACTTAATGAAGTCCATCTATATGTTAGCACTTCTTGTGTTATTGCTTTTATATAACTTCAAGATTTGTGGTGGTTCCAAGGTACATGTCACACCAAATGAGAAAAAGCCACATGAGAAAATAGATGTATCAGTAAGAACGTTAACTATGGTGGACACGTGCTATTAGGTAACATGGAATATTTAAGTTTAAGTAGATACATACAGCACATTATGGTAGAAAAACAAAGTCCACAGCGAAGTTGGATATTAAACTGGAGTTTACATTCCAAATTCAATAAACTTAAAAATCACGTAGAAATAAAATTACTTATAAAAATCTGTTACAGTGCTCATAAAAATACAGCATTTATGATTTTGTATCTACCTTACAACTCTGTACATTATTTTATTAATTCCTCTAAGTTTTTAAAAGCAGTTTTTCTTCATAGCCTCCAATTCATTTGTCTGGGTTTTTTTGAATTAATCACCATCCCAAAGTCTCACCACCCATTTGGTCATTTTCATATCTTTACCTATTTTTAGGGGAAATCTAAAATCAATTCCATATTTCAAACCAAGAGTTATTTCATGAGCACTAATGTTTCTTCCTTCACTTCATCTTCCTAAAGCAAGTTTTGCCTTAAACTTTACTGCATATTGGAATCATCTAGAGCTCTTAACATGACAATACTGGGGCATCCAATACCATTTATTCAGAACATCTTGGAGGCACCGAGGCCCAAGTGATTCTAATGTACAACCATGTTTGAGAATCAGTAATCTAAAGAGCAAATTTGATTTTTGGAATGGCAACCAGAGTTCAGATATATTTTCAAAATTTTCAAAATATCTAAAATTTTTTGGAAATATTTTCAAAATTTCTTTTTGGGATTTGTTTGCCTAACCTGTGAATTAGTTTGAGTACAACACTCCACCATGTCAGTGAAATCCCAACTGCACAAAAATAGTCTTAAGAAAGTTAATCTTCAGTTCCTCTATTTCTATCTTTCCATTTTTCTGAAAATGATTTGATTGAGAAAGTACCTGTGCTCTTGGTTCTCCTTGGTTTTCTATTTTCAAAATCATTCATTTTCCCATGTTATAAACAAAAGGCATACTTTTCATCCATCTGGAATCTTATGATCTCTTGCCCCCAGGTGTAAAAAATATCCTGGATTCTAAAAGACTTCAGCATTTGGATAATCCTTCTTATCAAGACACCATTAATATGACTCCCATCTCATTAATAAGACAATTTTCAACAAGTTAAATTTATATTTAATCATCACTCATCAAAATTAGAAAAATATAGGTTATGTTAATTATTTTATATTAAGATACATTTAATTTTAGGCATTCATTTAAATCTATATTTAATTTTAAATGCCAATATTTACAGCATTGAAAAATTACATCTTAGTACCTTTTTAAACTATTGGACGAAAATTTTAGATATTCACTTAACCATGCATGTTGAAGAAAATATTGGTTTTTCTAATTATTTTGGTGAGTACCAAAATTAATTAGCAATTGTCTTTTTTAGGCCTTTCTGATAGTTGGCTAGTTCTTTAAAATTAAGCAGTTTTATTTATTTTGCTATCTTCAAATCTCCGTAGGTTATATTTGCCCATCTAGATTCTCAAAACTCAGTTGCAACATGAATTATATCTCTCTCTGAAACACTAATTCTTGAAGGGCTTGCCTTGCTTCTTAAGAATTAGAGACATATATCTCAGGTTTTAAACACTTTGGCATCTAATACAATGGCAATGCTTTGCATAGAAAAATATATTCAATAACGGAAAAGCAAAAGATTAATGGAGACCTCCTCTTGCCTTTCCACTGCCCTATCAATCAAAACATCAAGACATTTTCTGATTTACTCACTGCCTAGTGCTATTCATGTTCTACCTTGTTCTTTATCAGGGTGTTCAGGGCTTTTTCAGGCCAAGCATTCTTCATTCCAGGACTGCAACAAGCTTGATTTCTTCACCAGATCTTAGCAACAGGCTGCAGGGGCACCCTGTGCGCCACCAGTGTGCTATAGGTGTTCAGACCTGAGGACATCTTGAACCATTGGTGTTCCCTCTATGTAACTTAACGCATGCAAAAATGGCATGATATGGCATGGAAAAAGGTTGGGAAGCCCTGGTTTGATTTGGATTACACTGGAGCCCTGGTTAAAGCTGAATACTTCACCTGAGAAGCAATATTCGGTAAATGATATGCCAATAGGTTTCTACTTTATTGTGTTATAGGATTCAAAAATGTATAGTGAGTATTCATTCTTATTTAGAAGGGAAAATTTTACCTTATGTTCAGTGTTTGCCAAGGCTAAGGATGGATTATTAAAAATCTCATTTCCAGAACTTAAGGAGGGCCATTCTTGGTAAATGAATTTCCTAAGAATTTTAGTCAGAAAATCACATCCGCATACATCTCTCTCCTCCATCGTCCATATAGTAACAACTCTTATTTTGTGGGAACTATTGCAGAAAGCATGGTAAATTCTAAGAGGTTCTCTGCTCGACTTATCATGTCATCATTTAAGAAGAGAGAGAGAGGGAGAGAGAGAGCGTGTTTGTGTGTGTGTATGTTTGTAAGGAGGAGAGAGAGAGATAGCACTGAGGATTAACGAAGTATTCTTATTGTTATTATTATTATTATTTTATTTTGTTGGAGACGGAGTTTCGCTCTTGTTGCCCAGGCTGAAGTGTAATTGCGCGATCTTGGCTCACTGCAAACTCCGCCCCTCGGGTTCAAGAGATTCTCCTGCCTCAGCAGTGAAGTATTATTTCAAATACAAATTTAAAATACAGCAATGAAGTATTATTTTAAATACGAATAGATATCCTTTAGACAGTTCTGGAAAAGCAGACAGTGTGAAGGTATGAAATACAGTTAGGATGCAGTCTGAATCCATTTAACATTAAAGCTTACCGAAGAGAGAGGCTTCTAATGAGGATCTGAGGCATGGGTGGAGGGATGCC
Organism: Homo sapiens; assembly: GCF_000001405.40. Classification (NCBI taxonomy): domain Eukaryota; kingdom Metazoa; phylum Chordata; class Mammalia; order Primates; family Hominidae; genus Homo; species Homo sapiens. The sequence goes on from NC_000011.10 coordinate 56,422,812, forward strand.
TCTTGGCTCCATATAAAGACTCACTTACCTGCTTAGCAGTGATCTTGACTCCTAATGAGCTCATTTAGAAGTTATTCAGATGATTTATTAGTTCCTAGGTCCCATTGGATCTAAACTTGAACCTCTAGAGGTATCTGAAAGCTTGATGTTTCCTCCTATGTTTCTCTCAATGTGAGATGAGCTGGACAAATTACATTGAAAAAAATTTTTAATCCTTCAAACTACCTGTATTCCTGAGACAGTCATACTTCAAAAATACTTATATACATATCCATGAGGGCAAATGTGTGATCTACTACTGGAAATGATATAATAAACCATAACACCCAGTTCATTTTTATTAAGAATCAAGTTTTGTGAAACAATAAGATGAACACTTAAATCCTGAGCAACTTACTTATGAGATCTTGGGAAAAGGTCTATGACTTTTTGAGCCTCAATCTCCTCAATTTTAAAATGAAGTAAAATTATACCTTCTCTATAATGTCTTTGAGAGTACTGAATGAGTTAATGTATGTGAAAAGTTCGGTAAACTGTCGGGTAGGCAGTAAATGTTCAAAGATATCTGTTTTAATAAGCAAGACAGAATCAGAACCACAAATAAAACAAAGATACTCCAAAAGCTGACAAGAAAACCAAAACCGTTACTACCAGTTTCAATCTCTATCTAGGTGGAAAATTTATTAAATCTTTCTGGTGTACATTATGCTGTCTTCAATGAAAATGATTTCTACATACTCCTCAAAATTCATTTCCTCATGTATCTGTCTCTCTCCCACCACCCATGTATATGCATACAGACACATATATGACTCATCATTCTAAGTTCTACATCTCATCTCATTATGTTTTCTTACTGTTCATACCTTTTTTCTTTTTGCCACTGAATCTATCTTTTCTGATTGATTTGTCTCTCTACATCTTCTAAAACCATCTTTCAATATAAAGGATTATACCCTTATTTTTAAATTTTATATCACTTTAGAACATTGGAAGACATTGATTTTGTAGTACATTAAGAACTTCTAGCCGGGCGCGGTGGCTCACGCCTGTAATCCCAGCACTTTGGGAGGCCGAGGCGGGCGGATCACGAGGTCAGGAGATCGAGACCATCCTGGTTAACGTGGTGAAATCTCGTCTCTACTAAAAAATACAAAAAATTAGCCAGGCGCGGTGGCGGGCGCCTGTAGTCCCAGCTATTTGGGAGGCTGAGGCAGGAGAATGGCGTGAACCCGGGAGGCAGAGCTTGCAGTGAGCCGAGATGGCGCCACTGCACTCCAGCCTGGGTGACAGAGCGAGAATCCATCTCAAAAAAAAAAAAAAAGAACTTCTTTCTACCGTAAAGACACATGCACACATATGTTCATTGCAGCACTATACACAATCGCAGAGACATAGAATCAACCTAAGTGTCCATCAGTGGTAGACTGAATAAAGGAAATGTGAGACATATAAAAGATGGATGGATGAAGCTGGAGGCCATTATCCTTGGCAAACTAACACGGGGACAAAAAACCAAATACAACCTTTTCTCACTTGTAAGTGGGAGCTGAATGATGAGAATACAGGGACACATGGAGGCAAACAACAGACCCTGGGACCTCCTTGAAGGTGGAGGGTTGGGAGGAGGGAGAGGATCAGAAAAATTATCTGTTGGGTACTAGGATTAGTACCTGGGTGACAAAATAATTTGTACAACAAATCACTGTGACACAAGTTTACCTATATGACAAGCCTGAACATGTACCCATAAACCTAAAAATTAAAAGAAAAAAAAGAAGAAAGAAAAAAAAAGTATACCTGAACAAAAGAAGTCCTCATTTCATGCTTTTTCTAAATCAATATTGAAAAATATATTATTTGTTATTAATGGTGAAGTTCAGCTTCTTCTCAAATTACAAACTAAGAAACTATTATATATGAATTAGGTATGTGGATGTAAAACACAACCTGTAGCACTAGTCAGAATTCTCAAAAAAGTTGTTTATTGTTTCCAATTTTTCATAATCCTTTGCTCTTTCAAATCCAGCTTCCCACTTATCACTGAGACCAATCCTTTCTAGGTTAACCTACTGTCTCACTATGGATATATACAATGGAAAATTGTCCATTCTTAGCTGAATTTCTTCTGAAATTTGGAAATGTTGTACAATGTCTCACTTGTCTTGTGTGATGCCACCACATTTTCTTTGTTTTTCTCTTACCTCACTAATTGCAGATTTGGCATCCTCAGTTCAGCTGTTAGTTTTTCCCATTCCTCATTTTTGTAGACTGTTTTATTATACCCACAACTTCAATTATCAATGATTCTTACATTTGTTTCTCTATCTTACCACTTCCTGTAGCTTCAGAGCTCTATATCCAAATACCTAGTATTGAGTTTAAGTTGCATGGCTCAAAGGCAACTAAAATTCTACATTCCCAAGGCCAAGTTCCCAATATCTTGACCTCAAATTTAGTCGTTGTCCTGTGTGCTTTATCCCTATTGTCTATCCTACTAGGCAAGTCATACGCTAGTATTTATCCTTCACTTCTTTGTCTTCCTTACTTCCCCCATTTTATGTCTAATTTTTTACCTCTTAGATGTTCACCTTATTCATGCTTTTCCTTCCCTCTCCGTTGCCATCCTCCAATCCCAACTAACATCATCTTTTCTAAAATGGCTAAAATATCATTTTAATTAGTCTCTAATAAATTTATTGAAACATAAACCCCATTGAATAATCATATTGATTTAAGAAGTTTTAATGACTTCCAAATATTGTTAGAATAAAGATGAAATTTTATGCAATCGTATTCAGGTTCCTGCATGATCTAAGACTTTCTTCTCCAGCTCTACCTTGCTCTCCCTCAAATTCACTTTTGTTCTAGCCACAGTAGCTTTTCTCATTTCTTCTGATGTTGCAAGTTTCTTGCTGCTTCAAGATTCAGAATATTGTTTTCTTTCTCCTTAAATGTTGTCCCTACTCTCACCCCTTTTGCCAATCCTTTGGTATTCAAACTAAGCATCATTTACCAGGGAAACTTTTGCTGAAAACTGAACTATTTTGGGTTTCTCTTCCAATTCTCTCAGCATCATGCATCTCTTCTTGGAAGGATTAATCACAGGTCGTAATTTTATGCTCCTTTGTGACCATTTATTTTAAGTCTCTCTCAGTCAATTGTAAGATCTGTGAGGTCAGGGACCATTTCCAATTTGCTCACCACTGTATTCCTGCATCCTAGCACAGGTCTTACTATAAAAAATGAAAATAAATATTTTAAAATTGACTTATCTATCAGTCAATTTTAAAAGTAGTTTGTTCTGTACAATATAAGCACACAAAAACACAACTGAAATCAGATGAGAGGAAAAGTGTGTTTTAAACCTTGCTTTTAATTTCTTAATGTAGGTCTTACAAGTAATTATTTGCATCATTCTCTATCTGGCCTTCTAAGATCATCTAATTTAACATGGTCATTTAAACAGATGGGGAAACCAAGAATCCTCGAGCTCTCACAATTATCTCTCTTAATTTCATCTATGAGTGAAGAATAGGACACCACAGTCTTTCGTAGTAATAATATTCACTCTGGTAATAATATTCACTGTAAATAAGACTATAAACTCATTTATAGTCACTCATATTGTGCCAAGCAGTAGTCTAAGAGGTCCATATATTAGCATATTTAGTCCTGGCAACACTATAAGTAGTATTATCATCCCTATTTACAAAGGTGAAAACTGAAGTCTAGGAAGGTCAGGCACTTTGCTCAAGGCCACACAGCAGCGAACTGGGACTTTGACTAACTCCAGAAACATAACTACTAATTTACACTTTTCTTTCTTGCTCTTCTCTAAGCATGAAGTTACTGATTTCCATGGACTACATCTCTAAGGAATACTTGATGGCTGGATTCAATAGGTTGCAGCCAATTGGAACCTGTAACAGGAGATCAGATGGGATGAGGAGAGAGAGGCCAGAATACATTAGCCCTGCTCTCTCTCTGCTCTTGAACTATGGCTGTCACAGTTCTAAAGTGATGCCTGGCAGTAGAGGCATCCCTGTCCTCATTTCCTTTCAGGCAACCTCTCACTCACACCCTACCTATCATTGGGTTCTCGATTCCCATTGAGTCCCTTCAGCCACTGAGGTGCTAATAGTTTCATGGTTAGATCCCAGGTACTCAGTATCCCATGTTTGTTTATTTCTCTTTATTTGAATTATTGTGGGTTGTTTCTTCACAAGAATCTGACCAATAATTCTCTAATTTCCTTGCAATTTATCTAACATTTTTCTTGATAATTAAATGCTTTGGGAATTTTTTTAGAAATAATATCACCTCTATGTATTTAGGTGTGGGTGGGTGCATTCTAAGACCTTTGAGAAAAATTTAAGTTGGGTAATTGTTATAGGGGGATTTCTATAAAAATTCTTCTAATTTTATATTTGTTTGAAAATGTCCATAAAAAGTTTTTAATAGTTTCTTATATAATAAGTAGTTTATATAGTAAAAACATAAAAAGATTACAATTTTTAAAATAGTTGTATTAGTTTGGGGTTTGAAATATCAGTACCTCTCTGTTAAAAGTATTATCATAGAGGCTGACAAATCTACACAAAGGAAAAGTAAGACAGATTTGTTAAAGAAAAAATAAAAATATGTTTTACAAGTTATGTGATCAGTAAAATCTAAGGAAATCAACAAATCAGAATGTTGAAATTTTAATAAAAATGAAACCCCTATGTATTGCAGACAAAAATTTTAAAAATACAATGGGAAAAAAATACTTAGAGTGGGATCTGTTAGGTAAAGTGTATGTTGAATTAAACATCAAAAATATTCAAATAAAAAAAGGTCCTAAAGAAATAAAATGATTTGGCTTGAAAATTTAATTAAAATGATAATATTTTATTATTATAAGGGTTTTTTTGAATGCCTTTCAAATGGGTCCACTATTTGCTAAAATAAATAAATAAATAAGAATAATAAACTGAGTCACCATAATATATAAGACACTGGAGGTAAAGAAAGGGATAACTCGGTCAGAATTCCTGTCCTCAGATAACTCCTAGCCTAATAAGGGAAACAGATGTGGAAAGAATTATAACACAGTATGAAAATACAACAGTGACACAAGAAGACACTGATAGTACACTGAGAAATGGTTAATTAACTTTTTTTTTCTATTGGAGATCAGGTAAGGAGAAGAGTGAGTGCATATGGTAAATTTCTTCTAAGAAGTTAACTTCTGAGCTTGTACTAGAAGGACAAGAAAATGTTAGGCTTTAAAACCTGACACTGCATGTTCTCACTCATAGATGGGAATTGAACAATGAGAACACTTGGACACAGGAAGGGGAACATCACACACCGGGGCATGTTGTGGGGTGGGGGGAGGGGAGGAGGGATAGCATTAGGAGATATACCTAATATAAATGATGAGTTAATGAGTGCAGAACACCAACATGGCACATGTTTACATACGTAACAAACCTGCACGTTGTGCACATGTACCCTAGAACTTAAAGTGTAATAAAAAAAAAAAAGTATTTCAGTGACACAGCAAGTGCAAAGACAAGAAATGCAGCCACAGCCAATGAAGGAGAAGTTTTGTGGTAGGCAAGGAGGAAAATATTAGGGAAAGAAGTTACAAAGAAAGGAGTATGGCAACATAAATCCTCATAAGTCATACCTCTGAGTGTAGTCTAAGTCCCATAGCAGACAGAAGCTGTATAATGCTATATAGTAGGTTGGTGCAAATGTAATTGCAGTTTTTGCATTGTTGAAATTTGTTGTTTGATGTTGGAATGCATTCTTAAATAAATGTGATTATGTTATACATCATTTTAATGCGCATTTCTTGCTTTATTTTTTTTTGGCTAATGACTTATTACTTGATGTTTATTTTATATTTATTTTAAACTATGGAAATGTTGTTAGACAAAAAAACACATTTGAGCAATTTTCTTATTCGAGTTCAAAATGGGTCATAAAGCAGCAGAGACAACTCACAACATCAACAACACATTTGGCCCAGGAACTGCTAACGAATGTACAGTGCAAAAGTTTCAAAAACTTTTGCAAAGGAGACAAGAGACTTGAAGATGAGGAGTATAGTGGCCAACCATCGGAAGTTGACAATGACCAATTGAGAGCAATCATCGATGCTCATCCTCTTACAACCTCATGAGAAGTTGCCAAAGAACTCAGCATCGACCATTCTACGGTCCTTCAGCATTTGAAGAAAATTGGAAGGTGAAAAAGCTCAACAAGTGGGGGCCTCGTGAGCTGAGCAAAAATTTTTTTAAAATCATCATTTTGAAGTGTCATCTTCCCATTCCACACAACGAACCATTTCTCAATCGGATTGTGACGTGCGATTAAAAGTGGATATGGCAACTGGTGACAACCAGCTCAGTGGCTGGACTGAGAAGAAGCTCCACAGCACTTCCCAAAGCCAAACTTGCACCAAAAAAAGGTCATGGTCACTGTTTGGTGGTCTGCTGCCAGTCTGATCCACCTCAGCTTTCTGAATCCTGGAGAAACCATTACAGCTGAGAAGTATGCGCAGCAAATCAATGGGATGCACCAAAAACTGCAACACCTGCAGCCGGCATTGGTCAACAGAAAGCGCCCAACTCTTGTCCACAACAATGCTAGACTGCACATCACATAACCAACGCTTCAAAAGTTGAACGAATTGGACTATGAAGTTTTGCCTCATCGGCCATATTCACCTGACCTCTTGCCAATTGACTACCACTTCAAGAATCTCGACAACTTTTTGCAGGGAAAACGCTTCCACAACCAGCAGGATGCAGAAAATGCTTTCTAAGAGTTCGTCAAATCCCAAAGCACGGATTTTTACACTACAGGAATAAGCAAATTTATGTCTCATTGGCAAAAATGTGTTGATTATAGTTGTTTCTAGTTTGATTAATAAAGATTTGTTTGAGCCTAGTTATAATGATTTAAAATTCATGGTGCAAAACTGCAATTACTTTTGCACCAACCAGATATATAAGATTGATATAATCAGAAGTAGCATTTTCAAAAAGTCCTTCAATGAAATAGGGGCTTAACACAATGAAATACAACTTAGTAACTTTCAAAGAGGCTAAAATGTGGGAAAATTAAGAAAAACAGAATAAAATTCAAAATTAAAAAAAAATTACAGGTTGTGTGTATGAAACTTAAAAAAAGTGAAAATTTTGATATTTATGTATTTAGTTTACTATTCCCTGGATTGTGTTACTGGGATTCATAGTTAGAAGACTGATAGTCTTAGTTGAGGAATTTAATAATATATGCATAAGTGTGCGCATGTATTAAAGAAAAAAACAATATCTAATGACACTTGTTAAACAACAGTAAGGAAGAAATTATCCAGGACCACTGGCAGAGATACAGGGATGACTGCAATGGGGTCTTGCAGCAGGGGAGAGAGTTTGAGCTCAGCTCTGAGTAGGGCATGGGCAAGTAGAAATGTATAGCCAGGGGGCAGAGTGGAGGTCAGTGAGTGGAAAATGACTAAGAGAAAACATAATTGTTAAAGAAGCTTCTGGCTAAACCAACCTTACAGGATTCTTGCAGAAGACAGGCCAGGATGATCAGACATTACGTAGAGAATGGTGGAAGATAACGAACCTGATCAGATATTGAAAGAAATCAGATATCATGGGTGGGGGGATTCTTGTTAAACTGACTTAGCGGGGTTATTTGCTAAAATTGAATTTTACAAGCAGGTACATAGATGGGCTTAGGAGAAGGCTCAGGAGCCACACAAAGGTTTGACCAGGCAAAGAATTATTGTCATGTGCATGTATGTATGTAGGTATGTATGTATATATCTGTCTGTCTCTTATCTATATGTCTAATACAATGTCTATCCTATTATTACAAATAACATGAGAATGGCAAATTTGTTACAGTTTACTGAGACACAATCATAATGCATGCTTTAGTATCTTAGAATAAATTTTGAAAAAATAAAATAGAAAGGGAGGGAATAAGCACAATAGTAGCCAAAAATATCTAATCTATATTCACATCTGGATTCTCGCTAACACTTTTATCAGCTGTAGCTTAAGGCAAAGTATTTAAATTATCTGAGCCTCTTTTCTTACTCAAAATGTGGACTCATTTTACCTATATCTTCATGTTTTTATGAAGATTAATGATATAATATATATAAATATTTTAGCACCTTGTGTAGGACACAATAAGCATTGACTAAATGTTAAACACTGTCATCATCATTAATGTTATTTTATTCACAATCCATATATCATTAATTTCTATTTTGCAGAGTAATTTAATATTCACTATAACTGTACATTTTAAAATAGTCCTCTGCTGTAAGTAGTATTTTCATTTCTTAATTGAGGCTCTGAGTTTATATCTTTCCCAAGAGCGCATGGGTAAATAGGAGAAGACCCTGGGTACAAACCTAGGTTTGGCTCCAAATCCTCTTCTTTTCCCACTAAAATACCTTATCTCCCAAAGGAAGGTGCTTCGAAGTAGAGGAAATGACCATCCCTGAGGAAGAAGATAATTATCTCAACACTTTCAAATTAAACTGCATATTCATTAATCTTAATGAAAAAGTTGAAACTTTGTGTTTGTTGAGATTGGTTCCAGTTAATATGTCCCCATGAAAAAGCTGAGAAACCAATCATTTTAATAAGGCCCTTGGAAACTGATTAGTAAGTAAATCAAATTTTTATAGCAATTACGGTAAGGAGTTGTGTCTGCAATGAAGAATTTTGTAATGAGACCCAGAGAGACAGTTTCATCATCAATGTGTAAGCAAACTCTGACTTCATTTCTCTTTACCTAATGATCAGCAATTATTTAATTAAAATCAACAGAGGAAGAATAGCAGTTACATAAAATGGCATTTTTCTTAATTTTTCCAGATACTTTGACTTTTTGAAGTCTGGCTAGAAATAGAATTGCTAAACTAATTCCTTTTACACTGGTGCTCTTAAATTCTTTGGTGAGCCAGTGTATATTAATCTGTATAAAGTAATTTGGGAATATAATCACCAATTAATGTTTTTTACATTCAATGGCAAACTACAACTTTTATCACAATAAAAATTTTTGACATGTTCTATGGTAAGAATGCCCTATTAGAATGCATTAAAGGAAACTAAGGGCTGTTTCATTCTTTCTTGAACAAGAAATACAAGACAGACAACCAGTTAAAGGCCTACTCACATGTAGATAGGATATAAATATCAAATGTGGAGACACACATGCTAATAATATAACATAGCACATGCCACATCTGCACAGTTTCAATGGGGTTGATGATTTATGAGCTTCAACAGTTGGGCAGATCATTGGTTACTGCATATTTTGAGAGTATACATTATAAACTGAACTAAGATAAAATGCTTATAACTATGGTCTAATTATTTTCTAGAAATATAACAGGCCACAAATATCTTATTGCATAACAAATATTGTACTAAAACATATCAAAATAAATCACTCTAGTTAAAACTACTAAAATAAATGTTCTTGAAGGAAAATCTTAATTTTGCAGTTTAGAACATCAGGGCCATAATTGTTTCTGAATGTGTTTACTTACAAATGAAGGTATATGCAGAGTGTTATTCATGCACAGTGCTATACCACTTTGTAATTAAATAAGAAAGACTGTAACAAGGTGCATTAGATATTAAGTTCCAAAAATTGAGAAAAGAAAAAAAAAGTCTGAGATAAGCTGAGTTTCAAATTAGAAATAAAATAAAACATTAATATGGAAATCTGTATAACAAATGGTTAAAAGATTCATGTGGTTCATATGGGGGAGGTGGTGAGAAAACTATATTCTCTGTTTCAAACTTACACAACTTGTGTGATATTGAGCACCTAGTCTTCCTTCTACTGACCTTATTTTATTCACATGTAAATAAAGAGCAGAAGAAAATATATATTATTAATATTAAAACCTGAAATCAAGGGTTATTATAAAGGGTAAGTTGACATAATTTGTGAAAAGTTATTAGAACAGTTTCAATGTATTAGCCAAGCACACTGCCGATATATTAGCAATGGTCCACACTAGCAAACATGATTATATTTTCAACAAAAATGCTCATGTATTAGCAGCAGAAAGGATATTGTCAGAGAGAAAAGATAGACATTAACAATACTATTGACACAGGATTTTTCTAGGCCACTTTGCCATCCAGGGACCTCCACAGCCAGCAATGCCCCCACATGTGGGCCTCACTCAGCCCTGGGCCTGCTGCTGGAGGTACCCCACCAACTTGGCCCACCTGTGCTATAGCTTGTACCCATGTTCAGTGGTTCCCAAGCTCTTGTCCTATGTCCAGGAAGAATGAGGATATGCTGAAAATTGAAGAGTGAGGATGAGTGAAGAATTTTTTTGAGAGGCAGAATGGCTCTCACCAGAGAGTGGACATGGGTGTCAGGGGGTGGTCCTCCACCCCTGAGTTGGGTGGTTTCTCCAGTGTGGCTGGGTCCAAGGCTTTTATGGGCTCAGAATAGGGGAGAGTGTGCTGATTGGTTTGTGAGTATGAAAAAAAGTTAAAACAAAGGCATGACTCAAAGTTGAGCCTGACAGTGTAAGAAAACAAATAGGGAAGGGTAGGCATTTGTAAAATAGGTGATGGGCAAAGATGAATCAGAGAAAACCTTGCCAGATGGGAAGACAGTTTCTTAATCTGGTTCATGGATTTGACTTGTAGCTTGGCTTTCAGGCTGCCTTTGGCATGGAGGTGGCCTTTCACTGAGAACCCTCTCCATCTGCTTAGGCATTTGTCTGCCTCCTGCTGCTATCACTGATATAATTAAATGGTTAAAAAAATTAAATTAATTTTTAAGACACTATATCTATTTGCTTGGTATTTTTAAATGTAAAGATTATTCTAATTGCTAATGAGTTTTCATTGTTGAACTTAGTGGTGTGATTCAAAAAATTAATGAGACGAAAGAAATGCATTATTCCCCTAATACATTTTTTTAGAAAGTGTTTAATAAAAATTAATTCCTCATCATAAATAAAGCTCCAAGGGAACAGAAATAAGAAAAATATTAACATAATAATAAGGATGATCTGTCACAAATTAGTAGTCACTATCATATTTAATGGAGAAAAAGTAGAAATGTCTTAATGAAAATCAGGAAAGAGAGAGATTCCTTTTACCTCCATTAATTTTCTTTTAAAATTATAGCCTAAGAATTTTTGTGAGGGTGGTAGGCAGTAGGAAAAATAGAGACTAGGAAGTAAGAAGCCACATGCAATAAAGAAAGAAACCAAATGCAATAAAGATAAGAAGACAAATAAAAGAAATAATTATTAGCAAAAAGGAGACAGGTATTCTATTATTTCTGGGCAATATAGAAAAGCCAATACAATGTATATAAATTAACAAAGTTTTATTAATGTGGCCAGTTACAAATATATATATATATATATACACACACACACACACACACATACACATGCATATATACATACAACTATACATGTAATAGCTTAATCTTGCATCATTGTCAATAAAAAATACTTCTGACTATACTAAGGAGAAAATGAGCAGAATATTGTTATAATAAAAAATGATAGGACTAACACAAAGACACTTTAAAAGGTTTACTGTGGGACATACAATAAAGAAGCCCAGTACATTTCATGAAGGAACATACCTAATATCATAAATATTTCAATTCTACCTTCTAGTTAATTTATAAATGTGGTACAATTATAATAACAAAATGGATTTTCTTTTAGAAAATAACAGAGATTCTAAAATTATGTGTGTATATACATATACACATACACATATATGCGGGGGGTATATATACACAGATATTTATTTAGAAAAATATAATGAATGATCTTGACTATAATTTTTTGAAAAAACAGAATATTAGGTGAGAAAATACACTGCCACTTAGTAAGTCATTTTCAATCTATAATAATCTTTAAACTGTGATGGAAGAGTTGGGAAAGAGTCGCTCTGTTAATGGCACAATACAGAAATCAGAGAAGCAAACCAGGTTTGTAGGAGTATTTCAAATAATTTTATTATTGCTTTGTGAGTTCCTACTCATAATCATACCTCAACAGAATGATACTGACCTCTATTTTAGACCAGGCCCTTCTGTTACACATTCTCCTAGTACAACACAATTTTTTTTTCATAATTGATTATAGTTTGGGAAAATTTATTTCACTGTGCATTAATATCCCTTCCCCATCAAAATATGTGACATATGAGCATGGGTCTTCTCTGTATTTACTTGCCGTTGTGTCTCAAGCATATAATATAGTGTTTGACACATAGTAGGTACTCACTATTTTAAATAAACAGAAAAAGATGTCTTAAACACCAAATGAGGCTCTGATCATCAACCAATTTTATGGAGAATAAATAAAGTTAAAATGTGGAATCCTTGATTTATTCCCCATAGTAAAATAAATTATTGATTAATGAGTTATTTATAGTTATTATAAAAATAATTATGACTAATTAAAGAGTTAATTATACTTTTAAAAGACATAAAATTGCCCCAGATTAACATTGATACAATGTTAGCATGGAGAAACTCAAGCATAGCCAAGAGGAAGAAAAAGAGGAAGGAAGGAAGGAAGGAAGGAAGAAAGGAGGAAGGAAGGGAGGGAGGGAAAGATAGGAGGGAGAGAAGAAAGGAAAGAGGGGAAAGAGAGAGAAAGAAGAGTTAAAAGAGGGGAGAGAACAAAGAACTTAATGGGTATATTTGCATTCATTTAAGCTTCTCTATTTTGAAACTCAACAACAAAAATTTATGCACAGGAAACAGTGAGGAGAAGATTTCAGTAAATGAAAACATATTCCGATATTTTAAAATAACATAGTATTATAAAGCAGTAAATAAATCTGAAAAACAATGTGAAAATACATAGAAATCATGAACAATCTCAAATAGAAAAAAGTGAATAAAAAACATGAAATCAATTTCTATTAATGATCAAACATATACACATAAAAGAAGAAACAGCATTTTTAAGTAATCAACTTGGCAAATTTATAATGCTTAATAACAGTGCAGGAAAAATTGGGCATTCTTACAGCAGTTCTGTGAGTGAAATTGTCAAAGCTTTCTAAGAGATTCTTTCATTTGAGCAATTTCATAGTGAGTCCCTAGTTTGTGTCAGACACTACGGAAAACAGTGAAAAGGAGACCAAAATGTTTGCAGACACAGTAAATATCAAAAAGAGGCCAGGCACGGTGGAACATGCCTGTAATTCCAGCACTTTGGGAGACGGAAGAGGGCAGATCACCTGAGGTCAGGAGTTTGAGACTAGCCTAGCCAACTTGGCGAAACCCCATCTCTACTAAAAATACAAAAATTAGCTGGGTGTGGTGGTGTATGCCTGTAAATCCAGCTACTCAGGAGGCTGAGGTAGGAGAGTGACCTGAACCTGGGAGGCAGAGGTTGCAGTGAGCCGAGATTGCGCCACTGCACTCCATCCTGGGAGACAGACCAAGACTCCATCTAAAAAAATAAAATAAAATATCAAAAGGACATCAAATAATCTAACAATTTTAAAATATTATATAGTGATAAATGTTATGAGAAAAAAGGTATATGGGAAGGAATACAGTGGTAGTACTATTATAATGAATCCTTATACAGCAGGATTCTAGATCTTCACACAGTTTAACCCAGTCTTCAAAGCAGCACTTGAGGCATTTACTATTACTGTTACTCTTTTAAAGATGATGAAAATAAGACACAGAGATGTTATGTGACCAAGTTCTTATAGAAGGTAATGGCAGAGCCAGATTTACAGCCAGATAGTCCACCTCCAGGGCTCTCACACTTTATAACCATGGAAGTGTCAGTAAGTGAGAGAAAGCATAGCAATATCTGAGAAAGACTTATTCCAGGAAGGGAAAGCAAGTACAAATACTCACGGCTGCCCTGGCCCTGGAGTGTTTGAGGTCAGAGTGGATAGAAGAATGGTGATTTCAAGGTAGCACTAAGAGATCAAGAATCAGAAAGTTAACAGGGGCCAGATCATGCCAGATTTTACGGGCTGTCATAAGGACTTTGAATTTTTGGGTGAAACAGGGCAACCATTGCAGAATTTCTGTGCGGAGGCAATTCTTTTTAAAAGGATTATTATGGCTACAGTGTTAAAACAAAAACAAAAAAACAAAAAAAACAAAAACAGTCGACTGTAGGCGGAAAGCATAGAAACTACAAACCTACTTGGAAAAATATTTGTATTACAAAAAAATGGTAAGCAAGACCACAGAATATGAGTGCAGTTGGTAAATGTAGTTGTACGCTGGAGCCAGAATTCCTACCAGAGTGAATGTGAGATAGGAGTAACACGAGTCAAGCCTTACTCTAAGGATTTTGCCTGATGCAACCATGAAGTGTCCATGCACTGAGCTAGGAAAAGTTAAAAAGAAGCCGATTTGAGGTGGTTTACCAAGAGTTCAGTTTGGACAATAAATTTGAGATGTTTAATATGCTTCCAAGTAAAGGTGTCAAATAGGATGTTGAATATAGGAGTCTAGAATTCAGAGGAGTGTGCTGAGATGAGGAGGTAATTGGGAAATTTTACATGCACACACACACACATACACAGTCCTCACTTAATTTCAATGATAGGTTCTTGGAAACTGTGACTTGACACAAAACAAAGTATAATGAGATCAATTTTATCAGAAGCTAATTGAAGTAAACAAGAGTTAACTTCCTACGGCATATTTCTGGTAACAAAAACATCACCAAATTTCTTTTTTTTCTTCTTTTTCAAACTCATGTAAATTTGAGGACTGGCTTTTTCATTGCTGGAAAAAAATGGATCTAGGTAGAGATTGCATTGAATCTGTAGATCATTTTTATTGCCATCTTAATAACACTGTCTTCCAATCCATGAACATGGGAGGACTTTCCATTTATTTAGACCTTTATTATCTTTCAGCCATGTTTTATAATTTTCATTTCACAAATCTTTGATTTTCTTGGTTAAACATATTCCTAGGCATTTTATTCTTTTGGATATATTATAAATTGATTTTTTTAACTTTTATTTTAGGTTCAGGTGTACATGTGAAGGTTTGTTATATAAGTGAACTTGTGTCATGAGGGTTTGTTGTACAGATTAATTCATCTGTACGCAGGTATTAAGTCCAGTATCCAGTGGTTGTCTTTTCTGCTCCTCTCTCCCCTCTCACCCTCTGCCCTCAAGTGGACCCCAGTGTCTGTTGTACCCTTCTTTGTGTCCATGAGTTCTCATCATTTAGCTTCCACTTGTAAGTGAGAACATAGGGCATTTGGTTTTCGATTCCTGTGTTAGTTTGCTAAGGGTAATAGTCTCCAGCTCCATCTACAGTCTCACAAAAGACATGATCTCATTCTTTTTTATGGCTGCAGAGTTTTCCATGGTGTATATGTACCACATTGTCTTTATTCAATCTGTCATTGATAGGCATTTAGGTTGATTACATATCTTTGCTATTGTGAATAGCGCTGCAATGAGCATTCACATGCATATGTCTTTATGGTAGAATAATTTCTAAAATAAATACCAATACACTTCTAATTATCTCACAAAATAAATGTGAGATAGATAGATGATAGATAGATAGATAGATAGATAGATAGATAGATAGATAGATAGATTTAAGAAACATTAATAAAAGCAAGTAAGATAATTATTTACCTGCTTATTCCAGTTCAGGGCGGCAGGTAGCCAGACCCTATCTAGCAGCTCAGGACACTAGACAGGCACTGATCCTGGACAGGATGCCATTCCATGGCAGGGCACACTCACACACCCACACTCAGTCTGAGACCATGTAGATGTGCCAATTCGTCTAACGTGCACATCTCTGGGATGTGGGAACACACAGGTTAGCCAGAGAAAACTCACACAGACATGAGGGGAACACGCAAACTTCACACAGACAGTGGCTCTGGCCAAAGATTGATGTTTAATTTTTAGTCAACTTTATAATAAAATGATGCTGAACAAAAGATTGTTATTCTAGGACCTGTTAGGTGTGTGTGTGTGTGTGTGTGTGTGTGTGGTGTGTATAAAAACTGAATGAAATTATCAAGGAAAGGAAGATGTGCAGCTATAAAAAGACAAAATGGCAGAGAAGTGACTGGATCTGTGTCTCTCCAATATTAACAAGAGAAGGCAATGAAGAAGGAACAGCAATAAAACCGAGAAGGTACATCCAGAGAAGTAGGAGAAAATCAGGAGAGTGTAGGAATCCACATAAGGAAAGATAATCAAAGAGTGACTAGCTCTGGCAAATACTGCTGACAGGATAAACAGCATGTGATGGAGACTTGACAATCGTTTTATGCAACATAGGGGTCGTGTATGGCCTTGGTAAGATTTTCAGTGGAGTGGTGGAGGAGGCGGGTGTAAAAGGCTATGGAAGCTATTTTAAAAAAAATGAAAGGAGACAAACTGGAAGCAACATGTAAAGACACAACACTCTAAGGAGTATTATCAGAAAAAGTTAATTTAGCAATAAGTAAAAAGTTTTACAGTAGCCATATTGTCTTGTTCAACACATATTTTTTAGTATTTTGTTCTAAAAATGTTGGATTATTTCTAACAAGTTAAGAATAAAATATTTTATAATAGCTTATTATTTTACTAATTAGAGAAAAATCACAAAATGCCAAAATATGTTGTGCCGCAGTAGATTTATTTAGTTTTTAATTAAATCCATGTTCTGAATTATAATACTGCATTATTATGACCTACGTATTCTGATAGTGTTAGAATGGATTTAGCAACTCATTCTGACATGTTAATTGTACTCCAAAAAAAGCCATGCTAAAAGTGTGTGTTATAGTAACAGACAATCCCTTTTCTATCCTGACCTGATTAACCTTGTTATTCACTCTATTATTGCTATCATCTCACCAACAAGCTCATGATTCAGATCCAGGTATGATTAGTACTTAAAATTTGCCAGCATTCCAAGGGTGGCACCTTAGCTAAGCAGGAAGAAGGTAGCTCTTGGAATCTTACTGTCTTGATGTCAAAGCTCATTTGTACCATGCACTGGTTAAGTTAAATTAGATAATATTCTGACTTCTCTCAAATGGACTCCTCAAAACCAGTTCTGAATGGTGGGCAAAAGAGGCAAAGCTGCTTTAACATTATGAACTCCTGGGTGAATGGTGCTCATAAAACTCAGAAACTCAAAGCTGGCTCTGTCCCGGAAAACATTTCATTCTACAATGTAGGAAGCACATGGTACATCTGAGTCCCCTCCTAACACGTTTGCATATTATATGACTGAAATTAATCGGTCATATAAAAACAGAAACTTTCACATTAGATGTACTGGACTTCAAGCCTTAATTATATTACTTAATAGTTCTGAACATTACGGAAATTACTGAACTCTGAAACATTGTAAAGAAGGTGGATAACATATAAAACTCATGAGAAGCAGTGCCTATGAGGCAGATAATATCCCCTAAAGTTACTGTATATGGTAAAACTTTGTATATTATATATGCATATATATTATTCTATGAACAATACATCCACACTGACTCTGTATACATATGACAGGCTGGTGTGTGCATGTGTGTTTGTGTGTATATGTATGTGACTGTGTTAACTTGGCCTAGAGTTGTGTTTTCAGAACATTTTTTCCACATTCTTTTTTCCTACATTGACAAATCACATGGACTATTGTGTGCTAAGCATATTTATCTTAAATTAAATCACATTTATTTAAATAAATCCGAAACTAAATTTTATATAGCCACTGCAAGTGATAATTCTGTGCCAATTGTCACAAATAGAAAGCAACAAATATTATATATTTTCAAATATTGAAAATACCAAAATGTCTGTGTGCTATACATAACAATCTCATATGATATTTTAGTAAATATTGGCAAAAATTGCTGTATTAGGAATTAATGAGAAGTCTTTGAAAATCACATTAGCTTAAGTTAGTTCAAGTTATCTTAAAACAGGTTTTATGGTTAAATTTAGATACTAATGTGAAGACATTAATATTATTGTATTAAATTATGTATTTTTTAAAAGCATTTTTATATCTGCCTTACCCAATCTGAACATTATCATAAAAGCAGAAAGGAAGTGTTCTAAATGAATTACTGTCAAGGTACAAATTCTGGACAAAAGGAATGAGCTATAATTATGACATTCAGGCTCGAAAGTTTATTTTGCAGAGGTAGTGTAAAAAGCAGAAAATAAATTTTGAAGCCAGAGTGAGAACACACTTATAATGACAAAATAACGATTTTTCTAATCATAGGCAATAAGGGTTGAACCTGAATTTGGCAATGTGGGTAGGATTTAAAGGCTATTGAATCGTTGAAAAGAGATTCTACTGCCCTTCTACTGAAGCAGGATACTTCCCTGACGCCTTCACAGGACTCGCCATAGGGGTGCCTCATTTACTCAGCCTGCCACTCTCAACTCCTTGTTGGAGGAGTGCAGGAGTGAGCGAGGCAGGAACTGGAGTGCAGGAGCACTGGGACCAGCTGGCTTTTTCAGTGCTGGTGAGATCAAACTCCCTTTACTTGGTCCCCAATGAATTCCACTCTTCATGGGAGAGAGTGCACAGGTGAACACATGCAGGAGCTGGAGAAACAATTTTGGGCACCAGCAGGAGTGAACTCTGTGCAGGCTACACGGCAGCATTCAGGCTGGGTGCCTGTGACACCACCTGAAGCCCCAGAGGGTGTGTTACAGTGCTCTTTCAGCTTGTCTTCCATGGATAGCTTAAGTGTTAACAGCTCATTGGGCCTGTGGCTTCCCTCCACCAGGGAGGGCAAAGGCGAGTGTGACAGCCCTTTGTATCCATAATCATGGCTCCTGAGTTCTTGTCCAGCGTCCAGGAAATATGAGGTCACACAAGTGAATTGAAGGATGGTAAATGCCGATGATTTTATTGCCAGTGGAGGTGTCTCTCAGTGGGAAGGGGAGCTGAGAAGAGGATGGGGAGGGTAGGTAATCTTCCTCTGAAGTCCAGCCCACTCCAGCTGGATTCTTCTCCAAAGTTACACCATCAAGCTGAAGTCAAGCCACTTCTCTCTGATGTCCAGCTATAGTCCCCAACATCCAGCTGCTTATCCACTCTGCCGGCTGAGTCTGGGGTCTTTATAGGCACAGGACGGGGCAGGGCTGGGCCATGGATAGTTTAGGAAAAGCAAACGTTCCATCAGGAATACAAGGATGGAAGTTCTCACTTTGGGCCATGGTCTCAAGCTTTTCAGCTTGAGGTGGGAATTCACTAGGGACCTGCCCCATCTGTCTAGAATTTTGCTGCCCTCTGTCCCCATCACTACTAGGTAGCATCCTAAATTGAGTTGAGGTATAGAAAAACCACAGTCCAAGAGTTGGATCAGTTTGAAGAGATCCCAGAGGAGAAGGAAAAAACAGCCCACCCTCCTAGGCTTTAGAGAAGGAGACTAATAAAGGCTGATATGAATGACAGTTCTAAACTGAAGAGTGAAGTATTAGTTTCTTCAGCTGCCATAACATAGTACCACACACTGAATGACTTAAGACAACAACAATGTGTTTTTGCACAGGTCTGGAGGCTAGAAACCCCAAATCAAGGTTTCTGCAAGGCCATCCTCCTTTCTGAACTCTAGAGGAGAATCGTTTGTTTCTTCTTTTAGTTTCTAGTAATCCCAGGCATTCCTTGGCTTGTGGTAGCATAGTAACAATCTCTGCCTCCATTTTCACATGGCTGTGTGCTATGGTTTCAATGTTGACTCCAAATCTCATGTTGAAATTTAATTGCTATTTTGATGGTATTAAGAGGTATGACCATAAAGAAGTGATTCTGTCAGGAAAGCAAAAAGAGTCAAAGTCTGTAAAATATTTGAAGCAATGTATTCTGAGCTAAATATGAGTGACCATGGCCCATGACACAGCCCTCAGGCTGTCCTGAGAACATGTGCTCAAGGTGATCAAGGTACAGCATGGTTTTATACAATTTAGGAAAACATGAGACTTCAATTAATTTATTAATATCATTTAATTTTAGTGACATATAATTTAATCACCCATTTCTAAAAAAATCATAGATAAAATCCTACAAACATCAAATAAAAAACCTTATAAATATATATACCTACTATATACCCATAAAATTACAAAATAAAATTAAGAAATTAAAAAATACAAATTGCCCTGGACTCTGAGACAGATGCATGCATCTTGGAGTATGTGCTAGAGGCATGGGATGAGTTTGGTGGATCAGTGTGGTCTGTGTATATTTCTGGGTGTGTGAGGTATGAGTCCCAATGTGAGCAAGTAGGACAGGAAATATTATGCACCTTACTGTATTTTCTATACTACCTAGCAAAATACTTAATACTATATAATCATCAAAAATGCAATAACGACTAAGACACTGTGTTCGGTTTCAACCTATTCATAGTCTAGCCTTATGAAACATGCACTTAAAATGAACTGTAATAAAATGTGGTAGCTACGACATGAGCAATCTGAGCTAAGGGCTGTCAAAATGCAGGAGTAGAGGTTATTAATTTTACATGGGAGCCTCCAGGAAGTGTTTAAGAGAAGACAACATTTGCATAACTCAAGTAAGCAACTCTTGAGTTAAGTTACCTTCTTTCTATCTTGGGGAGGACTTTAATTAGGACTAGAATAAGAAAAGCTTACTTTCTTGCTATATGGAATGAGTCTTATCTGGATTTCTCTATGTTAGATAGCTGGCTCTCACAGCTTATCACAGTAACTGATAACCACACTTACAACATAAAACCCAGAAAAATCACATGAGGCTATTTAGCGATTTGTAGACTGACCTTGAAAATTAACCCTAACACAATATTTGTACAGATAAAAATTAGTTAATTTGCAACTGAAAAACAGTCTGTGTTTGGAGAATCGTAGGTAATGTGAGGCCCGTCCAGGTTCAGTGGCTCATGCCTGTAATCCCAGCACTTTGGGAGGCCAAGGCGAGCGGATCAGGAGGTCAGGAGATCGAAACCATCCTGGCCAAAATGGTGAAACCCCGTCTGTACTAAAAATACAAAAAAAAAAAAAAATTGCTGGGTGTGGTGGCACGCATCTATAATCCCAGCTACTCAGGAGGCTGAGACAGGAGAATAGCTTGATCCAGAAGGCGGAGATTGCAGTGAGCCAAGATCCCATCACTGCACTCCAGCCTGGAATAGCAAGACTCCATCTCAAAATAAATAAATAAATAAATAAATAAAATGTGACCTCTGTGGATAGTAAACTCCTGGCAATAGATAGCACAATTATTCTCTCATGCCAGTGATTATTCTCTCTAGATGCACTCAGACCTCTAACTTTCACAGTCTTAACCAAAGTTCTTCAGTGTTAAACTACAACTTCATTTTGTGCCTGAAACATCTCAACATTATTCTGAGAAGTACTTAGGAAGATTTAGCTATATACCTCTTCTGTGTATCTGGTCATTGATTGAAAACTTGATCACTTTAACAAATTTCTTCAGTTAACAAATATTTTGTCAGCACCTACCATGTGCTAAATACTGTTATAAGTACTGGGGCTGGGCTGGGGCAATTCAGTCAATGGCCCTTTAATTAAAATTGTATTACCATGGAGAAGGAATAATGGATGTGAGGAGAAACCAGCAATTTTCTCCACAGCTTAATGAATGAGAATCAACATTTTTTGTGTGTTGGGGGGGGGAATGTAAACATGGCTGGTGTTAATGGAGTGCAGTGGGGAGGCCAAAAGAGGGGACAAGTTTGAGCTGTGGGAGTAAATTATCAGGCACCCAAGTAAAGTGATCAATTGCATATGACACCAAAACAATCCACAATTTTTGGCTATACAAAACACAGATTTGTGTTCCCTTAAGTCCATAAAGACTATGATACAATGCATCATGTACACCACTTATGAAATGAAAAGGAGAGTGTTTTAGGATTAGGAAATAAGAAATTTGGTCCCTTGCCTTGTAATGGTTATCTGTCGGACAAAAGGATGAGATGGTTAATGGTACACATTCTGGAATCAGGAATCTAGTTCCTGATTCATTGAAAGTGTGACATTGATCAAGTCACTGAACCTCTGAAAGACTCAGTTTTTTGTCTATAAGATGAGAGTGAGAGTAATTGCCTCAGGGTTGAGTTACAATAATTAAATTAGCACAAATATTTGAAGTATGCTACTTCAAAAATGCATTATTGTTGCTATTATTATTACTACTACTTGGAGTAGTATTTTTATTATTTATAAAATGAGGAAATTGAAGAAAACAGATTTTGTTTTCTGCTTTGATTTGCTATAATTTTAATTATAGGAAATAACGCTTGACTCATCTTCCCTGGAAAACCCAAGTGGCAGAGAATGTGAAGTATAGAGCATGAAATTGATATGTACAGTTTGAGTAACAGTATAAACAGGTTTAGTATGATAAAAATCCCCTCCCAAATTTTATTTAACTCTAGTACCCATTCAAAAAAACTGGAGTTGGGGGAATATAGTATTGTAGAAAAGTCAAAAAAAAAAAAAACAACAAAAACCACAAACTCAACAGTTGGCTTTTTCTCTAGAGATGTACTTCCCACAGGGTCATTTTTAAGGAAAAAATTCTTAATTGCTTTATGCTTTCTAAGGAAAACAAGGGAGGCTTCTCCTTTGCACTTCTCCCAGTTTCTCTTTTGTCAGGTTGAAAGTGTTTACCATTCTCATATATAGCATGAACTTTACAACTCTGCACCTTTATTGGAGAGACTTCTCTTCATTCTCAGGTTGGTGAAAAATGCATCTATCTAGAATTGTTAGATGGAGCTTGCATTGTAGATTTTATTTTCCTCTACGATTTATACGAATACATTCACAGTTTTATCTATTATGTTATGTGTGTAGGGTGTGAGAGAGATACATAAAAGAGATTTTTTCAATAAAATTATATTATTTGATAATTACAAATGATTAATGGAGCACATCTGATAATTATTTTTTAATCTATTATGTGTTAATATGTAATGCCTCTTTTCATAGTCAACATAGTCAAACACGCAATGAAATTGATACTATTAAGTCATATTGAGGAACAGGAAACTTAAAAACAAAACAAAAAACTAGAATAAAACATGTTCAGTTTTATAAAATAAGTCATAGAGCCAGGATCCAACCAAGGTCTGACAATAGAAACAGAACTTTTTAACTAGGATACTTTTTTGTTGTTGCTGTTGTTTTTGAGATGGAGTCTCGCTCTGTTGCCCAGGCTGGAGTATAGTGGTGCAATATCAGCTAACTGCAACTTCCGCCTCCTGGGTTCAAGTGATTATCCTGTCTTAGCCTCCCAAGTAGCTGGGATGACGAGTGCACCACCACACCTGGCTAATTTCTGTATTTTTTAGAGATAGAATTTCGCCATGTTGGCCAGGCTGAACTTGAACTCCAACCTCAGGCAATCCAACCCCCTCAGCCTCCCAAAATGCTGGCATTAGAGGCGTGAGACACCACGCCTGGCCTGACTGGGATACTTAATATTGCTTCATACCTGGTCTAAAAGAGAATCCATATTTATTGGTAATTGAATTTGAAATAGAGTAATTCAATAAGGGGAGGTTATGTGTGTATTTTTGATTTAGGTGGTGAGGAAATCCTCTAAATACTCCTGAGGTCCCCAATTCTCTATTTCTTTGTACACCTTGCAACCCCTAGGATCATATCTAACCCCTAGTTTCCTGTAATTTTACTATTGCTATTCATCACCTGGATAACCATCACTCAGGGCTATTTGTATTTAGTTTATGGGGAGTACTAACAATGCCATCTTCTACATTCTTGTTTGTGCTGAATCATCCTTAGCACTACAGAATGAGATATGATTTTCCAAGTAAGAATCCCTCTATTGCCAGTCTTGAAAATTACATAAAGAAGAATATTTCAGGCAGCTGCAGGCATAAACTGTTGAATCAGAAATCTGGAATTATCTGTGGACATGTCTGTAATCTCTGTTCAGTCATGAATCTAAGGATCTTAGAGACTATTTTAACAAAACTATAAGAGATTTTGCAGCCTATACATAAATGTATTCTAAGGCGCTTTATATCATTTTTAGAACTTTAACAATTATTCATTCGTAAAAATTTACCCAATAATTAATGCCTCAAATTTTTATGAATTAAACCAAACCTCTAGAGCCATGTAGAATGTACTCTGTTTCAGTTAGTAATTTTCTCCTCTATCCATAGAAAAATGTTCTTTCCAAGTTTGGTGGTTGAAAACTTGGATTTTCACTGTGGATAAGTTTGCACTTATTTTCACTATGCAATGAGATTTACCTTCCTGCCTGCTTTCTAAATTTTCTGGTAACTGCTAGCCAGTAATAATTATAGATAAATTTCGTCAACTTGTGGTTGAACATAGTTTAATACTGCAGATTACAAGAAGGGTCTTGGGAATAATCGTTTGCTCTAGAGATGATATAGCCATCAGAAGGTATGAAACAACCCCATCTCCAACAAATATATTGTCCTGCTGAAAGGCTGTCTCAAGATTCTTATTAGATTGATTTACACTTTTTGTTCTGCAGAATGTGAATGTTCATTGACAAAATATCTAATTCATGGAATTTCTCTCATATATATATGAGAGAAATATATAAGCTATAAGTATGAGAATATACATATAGGTGTGTGTATATGTATATACACACATATGTATAGACATATATATATAGACATGTGTGTGAGTGTGAGTGTGTGTGCATGTAAATTTGTAAGCTACATGAATGATGTGTAGAGTAAATAACTTTACTAGGGAGGCTGTGAATTACTAAGAGATTTGACAGAGCACAAAGATGTCCCATTTGATGGAGGAACACTTGTGGATTATTCTCTGTTATATCTATTAACATCATGCAAAGCACTAATTATATTTCTAATATACTTAAAACATAATTTGAGAAATATTTTCTAAAAAATTTTTCAAATGTAATATATCCTATGTTTGAAAATAAATTTCCAAAATATCAAAGAAACTTTCCAGTGAATTCCCAAAGAAGAATCAATCCCTTCCTAAATTTCTGTCCTTATTATAACTCTATAAGAATACATCCAAGTTTCAAAAAGTATTTATTTACATTAGTACCTTCATAAATGCTGACAGTAATCTGTATGTTTTACTTATTTTTGAATCTCTAGAACATAGAAGTACATGATATCTAGTGGATGATAATTTCATGTTAGAATTGGGAGTCCATATCCAGGATATGTTTATATAGTGTGAACATGGGCAAATAATTCACCCTTTAACTTGACTTTGATGGCTACTGTCATCTGCTTTTTGTTCTTCACTTGAAAAGAATGCAAATATGAGATTAGGTTAAAAATATTTTGATAACACTTTAGGCTGATGAATTATTTCGTCATATGGCTTTTTTCTCTAATCATTGAGAATATGCTAATAATGAAAGAGATTAGGTTTAAAAAGCAGACTTGTTTAGTCCTATTACAAAAAGAAGTATAATCCCCCATAATTATCGTAAAAATATGAAACTCCAAACATGCCATTATTGGAAATGAGGGATATTTAGAAGTAATCTTAGAAATTTGACTACTCACAATACTTACTACCAGTGTATTTCAGCCACTAAACTTTGTTTAACGGTTATATAATAGGGACTGTCTACATTTATTCATTGTGGAGCCTATTACATAACAGTAGCTGAGAAAAGATTTGCTGAAAATAATAATGTCAAAGTGTGATCATAGATATTATATAAAAGGAGCACAGATAAAGGTGTAAATTAATAAATGAAAAATACTAATTTTTTATTTTATTTTAGTTATTATGAAGATTTGTAACTCATATTGACGTAGAATTGAGAAAATGCTCAATTTCACCGATGTGACAGAGTTCATTCTTTTGGGGCTAACGAGCCGTCGGGAATGGCAAGTTCTCTTCTTCATCGTTTTTCTTGTGGTCTACATTATCACCGTGGTGGGCAATATCGGCATGATGTTGTTAATCAAGGTCAGTCCTCAGCTTAACAGCCCCATGTACTTTTTCCTCAGTCACTTGTCATTTGTTGATGTGTGGTTTTCTTCCAATGTCACCCCTAAAATGTTGGAAAATCTGTTATCAGATAAAAAAAAAAACAATTTCTTATGCTGGCTGTTTAGCACAGTGTTTCTTCTTCATTGCTCTTGTCCATGTGGAAATTTTTATTCTTGCTGCGATTGCCTTTGATAGATACACAGTGATTGGAAATCCTTTGCTTTATGGCAGCAAAATGTCAAGGGATGTCTGTATTCGACTGATTACTTTCCCTTACATTTATGGTTTTCTGACGAGTCTGACAGCAACATTATGGACTTATGGCTTGTACTTCTGTGGAAAAATTGAGATCAACCATTTCTACTGTGCAGATCCACCTCTCATCAAAATGGCCTGTGCCGGGACCTTTGTAAAAGAATATACAATGCTCATACTTGCCGGCATCAACTTCACATATTCCCTGACTGTAATTATCATCTCTTACTTATTCATCCTCATTGCCATTCTGCGAATGCGCTCAGCAGAAGGAAGGCAGAAGGCCTTTTCCACATGTGGGTCCCATCTGACAGCTGTCATCATATTCTATGGTACTCTGATCTTCATGTATCTCAGACGTCCCACAGAGGAGTCTGTGGAGCAGGGGAAGATGGTGGCTGTGTTCTATACCACAGTGATCCCCATGTTGAATCCCATGATCTACAGTCTGAGGAACAAGGATGTGAAAAAGGCCATGATGAAAGTGATCAGCAGATCATGTTAAACAAAATAAAATCAAGTTTGAATTAATTTTGTCTTCTATTATTTGATTGGAGAAAGGTTATTGCCCAGTACTTAGGAACATTAAGATAAAGATATTCTGTGGGTTGAAGAAAAATAAAAGTGATGCAAATGGAGAAAATATAAGGTAGAATGTTTCACTTCTGTTCATGTGAGTATGGAGATTAATTAAATATGAATAAATTAATTAGTTGAAATGGTGATGTGTGCCAAAGTTCATAGGTGTGCTAATGGAAGTTGCTCAAATACTTAGCTGCAATGAAAAGAATTTCTCTTATTCAAAAGTGCAGTTGCATGAATTTAGGTAATATTCATTTGCCCAATTAAACACTAATTTGGGGCAGAAAAAATTCAAAATATTTAATTTGGTTTTCCAGTGTGAGGATGTAAAATAGTGTTCTCACTAATGGTTATGAGATTGTTTATTGTTTAATGCGTCTTTCATTATGTTGGGTAGGGTCTGTTCAGAGACTGCTACTTTGAAAATAGCAATACTATTGTATTTTATGTTTTTTAACTTTTTGGTGTTTCTTAAGAAACAACGTGGTAGATGTCTCTTTTTCACAGATCCCAGTAACTGCCATGTTTCAACTCTACGATTGCCAGTCACCAGACTGTGGTTTGCCCCTGCTGGTGTCTTCACTCTGACTGAAGAGTAGGAGAATTAGTGGAAGAAGTTGTCATTGTAAAACCATGGCTCTCCAAATTCCACAGAATGAATTACATTCCACTCATGTGAGATATTTGGTACACCTGTGACCAAGACATGGCACTTACATATTCTAGTTAACTTTTGCATTTGAAATAAATTCAGTATTTAGGATGCACTATTTGTTGTTATCAATAAGATTTTCTGACATAATAATGGGAACATAATTTCACATCTCTTGCATCTTATTTCATGAAGCACAAGGATGAAGCTACAACTTAACTTATTTCATCAAAGTCTACGTCCTTAGGCTAAATAAATAAGTAAATAATCACTATCTGTTTTGATGCAAACAATATATGGCTAAAGAAATGTAACTTACATATTTTGAATTGTACATTTAAAAAATTAAAAATTATCTGCAAAGATGTGAATATAAAACAAGATTGGCGCCATCTGAGAAAAAAGCATTCTTCTTTTCTTTAACTTTTATTTTAAGTTCAAGGGTAGGTGCGCAGGTTTGTTATATCGGTAAACGTGTTTCATAGAGGTTTGTGGTACAGATTATTTTGTCATGCAGGTATTAAGCTTAGTACTCATTAGGTATTTTTCCTGATCCTCTCCCTCGTCCCAACCTCTACCCTCTCATAGCCCTCAGTGTGTGTTGCTCCCCTTTATGTGTCCATGTGCTCTCAACATTTAACTCACACTTCTTTTTTATTATTATTATACTTGAAGTTTTAGGGTACATGTGCACATTGTGCAGGTTAGTTACATATGTATACATGTGCCATGCTGGTGCACTGCACCCACTAACTCGTCATCTAGCATTAGGTATATCTCCCAATGCTATCCCTCCCCCCTCCCCCCACCCCACAACAGTCCCCAGAGTGTGATATTCCCCTTCCTGTGTCCATGTGATCTCATTGTTCAATTCCCACCTATGAGTGAGAATATGCGGTGTTTGGTTTTTTGTTCTTGCGATAGTTTACTGAGAATGATGTTTTCCAATTTCATCCATGTCCCTACAAAGGACATGAACTCATCATTTTTTATGGCTGCATGGTATTCCATGGTGTATATGTGCCACATTTTCTTAATCCAGTCTATCATTGTTGGACATTTGGGTTGGTTCCAAGTCTTTGCTATTGTGAATAGTGCCACAATAAACATACGTGTGCATGTGTCTTTATAGCAGCATGATTTATAGTCCTTTGGGTATATACCCAGTAATGGGATGGCTGGGTCAAATGGTATTTCCAGTTCTAGATCCCTGAGGAATCGCCACACTGACTTCCACAATGGTTGAACTATTAACTCACACTTCTAAGTGAGAACATGAGGTATTTGGTTTTCTACTCCTGCATTAGTTAGCTAAAGATAATGGTCTGTATCTCCATCTATGTTCTTGCAAAGGACAAGATCTCATTTTTTTTTTATTTTCTTATGGCTGCATAGTATTCCATGGCGTATCTGTACATTTTCTTTATCCAGTCTATCACTGATGGGCTTTTAGGTTGATTACATGTGTTTGCTATTGTGAATAGTGCTGCAATGAATATACATGGACATGTGTCTTTATAGTAGAACAATATATATTCCTTTGGGCATATACCCAGGAATGGAATTGCTGGATATTTCTGTTTTAGGTCTTTGAGGAATCACCACACTGTTTCCCACAAAGGTTGAACTTAGATACATGAGGCCAAGAATCATATGAAAAAGCTCAACATCACTGATAATTAAATACATGCAAATTGAAACCACAACGAGATACTGTCTCACATGAGTAATAATGGTTATTATCAAAAACCCAAAAAAATATCAGATGCTGGCCAGATTGGGAAGAAAAAGGAACGTTTGTACACTGTTGGTGGAAGTGTAAAAAAGCATTCTTCTTTGTCCATTATTGAATTTTATTTACATCAAGAGAAACCAAAAATGCAATGAACTCCTTTCCACATACATACGTATAAATCATGGGCAACATTTTAAAACCTTTTGCATATATAAACAAATTGCTAATTTAGATTCAATTATAGTGTCACTGTGTCTTTGGATGAAAAATGTTAAACCTCTAGAGACTTTTAATATCTAAGGTACATAAGGTTCTTTTGGGACTAAAGTTAAAAGTAATTTATTTTGGCAATAAGAACATTTATTTGCCATTTTTGGGGAACTCTTGATATGCCAAATTAGTTTCTTATTATTAATCAATTGCTAAATATGTTTTTAAGCATTTAATCACTTGCAGCCTGTTGGCAGGTAAATTTGAACCATCTTTGTTACCTCTTTTTTTCAAAGGTAAAATGCATTTTCTCTTTATTCTTTTGGAGAGTTAGTTTAGTGTTACATAAAGAACGATGAATCTAGGTCAGTGGTCAAATCATGTTTCTGGTTTCAGTTTCCAAATTTCAAGTGAATTTGTGGATGACCTTGGACAAGTCACTTTTTGTCACCCATCTAGTTATTTTTAAGGTTGTAGACTCTGATTTCTACATTTTCTTGAGATATTGCATATGAAGTCAAAATTCCCTAGTGTCAAACTCATCCAATAGACTTTCTCAATAATAGGTGAGAAGAAATTCATAAATTCTGGGTACTTTGGGGCTGAAAAAAAATTTTCCCAAGCACAATTCTGTTCATGATTTTCCAGACTAAATTTAAGAAGTATACTTTTCAGAATTTAAATAGTGTAGGTTTGCATCTGTATTCTTTGGCTTGATAGTATCTCAACTTGCCAATACTGCATGTTCTCACTTACAAGTGGGGGCTAAACAACAAGAATACATGAACACATAGAGGGGAACAACAGACACCACAGCCTCCTTGAGAATGGAGGGTGGGAGGAAGGAGAGGAGCAAAAAAATACCTATCAGGTGCTATGCTTATTATCTGGGTGATGAAATAATGTGTACACCAAGCCTCTGTGACACCAGTTTGTCTGAATAACACACCTGCATATGTACCCCTAAACCTAAATTTAAAAAATGGAAAATTTAACATCATATTTTTTTCACATAGGAATACTTTTATTCTTCAAAGTAAGGATAATATTAACCTCAATCCTAAAGAAGTGGTAAGATAATAATAGTAAACTGTTTAGAGGTAACACTGCACAAATAATGACAACTTTTTGTCTGCTTCACGTGCAACAGGCATTGGGAACAGAGTTATCCCTATATTATTCTAAGATCATCTCAACCAAAATGTAAGATAATAGATTCCCTATTCTACAGATAAGTACACTGAGGCACAGAAGTACATCGCTTGTCCAAGGTAACATAATGAAAGCGTGTGTATAGCAAAGGTATAATTTCAGATCTGTCTGACTTCAGTAATGACTTCTACTTTTACTCATTCTGCCAGTGATTTATTGTTTGAGGCATCTGACATCTGAACACAGCCATGAGATGCATGGGACATGCATTGCTATGATCATCTATCCTGACAGATGGTGCTTTTTTGAACAGTTGTCCAACCAGAAAGAGACTCACTGAAATTTTATATGATGCAAACCAATATTTTGCCAAAATGCATAATTATCAACGTGTAGAACTTTTAGCAACAGGAAAGAGACAAATTCGTAGGCAGACAGGGTTCAGTCCCTAGTGAAACTCCACCTTCAAGCCCAGGACAGTCTAAGGCCTGAAAACTGAGCCACTAGTTCCAGATAGAATCCACTGACCAGAGGGAGAACTCCCATCCCTATCTTACCCACTCTTTCAATTTTTTTTTTCCTGAATGATGCCTTTTAACCAATCGAATGGTGTCTTTTCCAAGCTCACCGATAAATCAGTCAGCATGCATTCCCTATTCTAAACCCATAAAAAGCTCAGACTCAGCCTTACGTGAGGCTGTCCACTTTTGGGTCCCCTCTTACTGTTGAGAGTGTTTCTTTCACTTAATAAATTTTACTGAGCCTTACTTACTCTGCAGTGTCCATGTACCTCATTCCTCTTGGTCTTGAGAGAAGAACCTGGAACTCATGGAACTGCAGGAGTCAAAGAGCTGTAACACTTCCTCCAGTTCACCAATCTGTGGGAGTGAAGAAGGTAATGGGTGCCACTCCCTCCCACTCACTGAAGTATGGGAGTGAAGAAGCCACTGGTCAACACCCCCTCCTGCTTGCCAAACTACAGGAGTAAGAAAGCCACAACAGAACAATTTATTTTTTATTTTTATTTTTGGATATACATACAGTAATGGGATTGCTGGGTTGAATGTAGTTCTGTTTCAAGTTCTTTGAGAAATCTCCAAAGTGCTTTCTACAGTGACTGAACTAATTCACATTCCCACCAACAGTGTATAAATGTTACCGTTTGTTGGCAGCCTTGCCAGCATCTGTTGTTTTTTGGCTTTTTAATGATGCCCATTCCGACTGGTGTGAGATGGTGTCTTACTGTGGTTTTGATTTACATTTCTACAAAGATTAGTGATGTTGAGTATTTTTTCATATGTTTCTTTGGCAACTTGTATATGTTAGAAAACTGCCCATGTCTTTTGACCACTTTTTAATGGAGTTATTTAATTTTTGCTTGTTGATTCATTTAAGTTTCTTATAAATTCTGGATATTAGGGCTTGGTCATAGTTTGTGAATATTTTCTTTCATCCTGCAGGCTATTTCCTTAGTCAACAGTTTCTTTGGCCGTGCAGAAACTCTTCATTTAATTAGTTAGGTCCCACTTATGAATTATTGTTTTTGTTGCAAATTGCTAACATAGCAATTGTTAAATTGCTGAATGCATTTAGCCACAAATTATTTCCCAAGGCCCATGTTCAGAATGATGTTTCCCAGGTTTTCTTCTAGGCTTCTTACTTTTTGACTTCTTACATTTAAACTTTAATTCACCTTAATTTTTGTAGATGGTGAAAAGTAGGTGTCAAATTTCATTCTTCTGCATATGAATAGCCAGCTATCCCCGCAATATTTAATGAATAGGAGGTTTTTTTTTTTTTTCTGACTTTCTCAAATGTCAGATGACTGTAGGTATGCAGCTTTATTTGTGGATTCTCTATTCTTTTTCACTGGTGTATATGTCTGTTTTTGTACCAGTGCCTTGCTTTTTGGTTACCATAGCTATATAGTATAGTTTGAATTTAAGTAATGTGATGCTTCTGGCGTTGTTTTTTCTTTTTCTTTTTCTTTTCTTTTCTATTTTTCTTTCTTTCTTTCTTTCTTTCTTTCTTTCTTTCTTTTTTTTTTTTTTTTTGGTACTCAAGCTCTTTCTGGTTCCATAGGAATTTAAGAATAGTTTTTTTTTTTCTAATGCTGTGAAGAATGATGTTGGTAGTTTGATAGGAATAGTACTGAGTCTGTAGGTTGCATTAGGCAGTATGGCCATTTTAATGATACTGATTCCAATTAGTTGTGTCATGTATGATTTCCTTCGGCAGTGTTTTGTTTTTAGTTCTTAGAGAAATCTTTCACCTCCTTGGTTATATGTATTCTTATGTATTTTATTTTTTATCTTTTGGTGGCTATTGTAAATGGGATTATGTTCTTGATTAAACTCTCTGCTTGGATGTTATTGGTATACAAAAATGCTACTGATTTTTACATTTATTTTGTATTCTGAAACTTTACGGAAGTCATTTATTAGTTCAAGGAACCTTTTGGCAGAGTCTTTAGTGTTTTCTAGGTATAGAATCACATTGGCAGCAAAGAAAGATTGTTTGGCTTTTTCTTTTCTTATTTGGATGCCTTTTATTTCTTACTCTTGCCTGATTGCTCTGGCTAGGACTTCCAGTAGTATGTTAAATAAGAGTGATGAGTGGTGGCATCCTTTTCTTGTTCAGTTCTCAAGGAGAACATTTCCAGCTTTTGCCCATTCAGCATGATGTTGGCTGTGGATTTCTCATAGATTGCGCTTATTATTTTGAGGTATGTTGTTTTGATGCCCGGGTTGTTGAGGGTTTTTATCATGAAGGGATGTTAGATTTTTCTCAAATAGTTTTTTGAATAGGTTGAGGTGATTGTATAGTTTTTATTTTTAATTCTCTTTATATTGTAAATTACACTTATTGGTTGATGCATGTTGAAACAACCTTGCATCCCAGGAATGCAACCTACTTGCTTGTGGTGAATTAACTTTTCAGTGTGCTCGTGGATTCACTTTGCTGGTATTTAGTTGAGGATTTTTGCATCTATGTTCTTCAAGGATACTAGCCTGAAGTTTCCTTTGTGTATGTGTGAGTGCCTCTGACAGAGTCTGGTGTCAGGGTGTTGCTGGCTTAAGAATGAGTTAGGGAGTATATCTTCATCCTCAATTTTTTGGAATAGTTTCAGTAGAATTGGTAACTAGCTCTTCTTTGTACATCTGGTACACCTGTGAATCAATCTGTTCCAGGGCTTTTATTTAAAAAAAAAGTTGCTAGAATTTTTATTATTGATTCAATTGCAGAACATAATTTGGTTTGTTCAGGGTTTCAATTTCTGCCTGATTTAATTTGGGGAAGGTGTGTGTTTCCAGGAATTTATCCACTTCCTCTAAATTTTCTAGGTTGTGTGCATATAACCAATCCCACAGAAATGCAAAAGATCCTCAGAG
The DNA here is from genome assembly GCF_000001405.40 of Homo sapiens. NCBI lineage: Eukaryota > Metazoa > Chordata > Mammalia > Primates > Hominidae > Homo > Homo sapiens. The sequence continues at coordinate 56,456,814 of NC_000011.10, forward strand.
ACTGTTATGAACAGAAGTATACATTTGTTACTAAGTTTTGACAATAGATCAGAAGAAAGTTATATGTAAAGTTAAGAATAATCTCCTAAAGGCCAAAGCCACTAAACCTGAACTTTCTCCTCATTTTCATACTCCAAAATGTGGCCACTGAATTGAACACCCTAGATGGTATTATGGGAGACACATCTTGAGGGTCTAATTGCCTTATTTAATACTCATAATCACCTGATTGCATAAAAAAGAAATATAAACCTATCTTTTTAAGTTACTTTGTTTTGGTGGTTCATTAGTTACTGCATTTAGCACCCTAATCCTCCTTTTAATTGTTCTTATAATACTTTTCAGATACTTGATTCTTGGCACTTTACCTCAGCGTAAGATTCCTTCCTAGGGCAAGTTAATAATTAGATAGGATTCATTTTACTTTAACACTTGGTGAGTCCTTAGCCACACTGTGACACATTAGTTAATACTGTGTCCTACTTCTAGGCTATTTCTCTCTGTTAGCATTTTCATACAAGCTCTTTCTTGGGTTCATTAATTCTTAGTTATTTTCTCTGCACCATGTTTCTAGCTAGGTATAAACTAGGCAAACCTCCACTATACATTTTTAACCAATACAGATCTTAAGCTATTGTTACTTACTATGGGTTAAATTGTGTTCTCTAAAAATACATGTTCTAAAGCCCAATCCCTCTGAATGATATATATTTGAAAATACAGTCATGAAAGATGTGACTAGATGAAGTCATATTGTAGCGTGTGCCCTTAATCCAATGTGACTGATATCCTTATTAGAAGAGAGATATTTGCATACACATATTTAAAAAAAATTAAAAAAAATTTCTTCATCTGCATTGCTATAACATATAAATTATCCATAGTCTGGGTAATTAATAAGAAAAAATATTTGTGTCTTATAGTTCTAGAGGCTGGGAAATCCAAAGTTGAGGGGCCCACAACTGGTGAGAGTCTAACATCCCTTCATGATAAAAAACCCTCAACAAACTGGGCATCAAAAACACATACCTCAAAATAATAAGAGCCATCTATGAGAAATCCATAGTGAACATTATGCTAAATGGGCAAAAGCTGGGAGCATTATCCTCGAAAACTGAACAAGACAAGGATGCCCACACTCATCACTCCTATTCAACATACTACTGAAAGTCCTATCCAGAGCAATCAGGCAATAGTAAGCAATAAAAGGCATCCAAATAGGAAAAGAAAAAGTCAAACAATCTTTCTTTGCTGCTAATACGATTCTATACCTAGTAAACACTAAAAACTCTGCCAAAAGTTGTTTAAACAAATAAATGACTTCAGTAAAGTTGCAGGATACAAAATAAATGTAAAAAAAATCAGCAGCATTTTTATGTATCAATAACATCCAAGCTGAGAACTGAATCAAGAACACAATCCCATTTACAATAGCCACTAAAAAAATAGAATGCATAAGAATACATCTAACCAAGGAGGTGAAAGATTTCTATAATAACTACACACTGCTGAAAGAAGTCATACATGACACAATGAATTGGAAAAACAGTCCATGCTCATGGATTGAAAGAACTGGCATCATTAAAATGGCCATACTGCCTAAAGCAATCTACAGACTCAGCACTATTCCTATCAAACTACCAACGTCATTCTCCACAGAATTAGAAAAAAACGATTCTTAAATTCCTATGCAACCAAAAAGAGCCTGAATAGTGAGAAAAAAAAAGAAAGAAAAAGAAAAGAGAAAAACCAAAGCCAGAAGTATCACATTACCTGACTTCAAACTATACTGTATAGCTACAGTAACCAAAAGAGCATGGCTCTGTTACAGAAATGGTCATATACCACATTGGAAAAGAATAGGGATTCCAGAAATAAAGCTGCACACCTACAGCCATCTGATAATTGTGAAAGTCAAAAAAAAAAAATGACCTCCTATTCATTAAATGTTGCTGGCTATTCATATGCAGAAGAATGAAACCTCACCCCTACTTTTCACCATATACAAAAATTAACTTAAGATGAATTAAAGTTTAAATGTAAGTGCTCAAAAAGTAAGAAGCCTAGAAGAAAACCTAGGAAACACCCTTCTGGACATGGGCCTTGGAAAAGAATTTGTGACTAAATGCATTCAGCAATTTAGCAATTGTTAAATGAGCAACTGCAACAAAAACAAAAATTCACAAGTGGGGCCTAATTAAATGAAGTGTTTCTGCACAGCCAAAGAAACTATCAACAGAGGAAACAGATAGCCTACAGGATGAAAGAAAATATTCACAAACTATGACAAAGGTCTAATATCCAGAGTTTATAAGAAACTTAAATGATTCAACAAGCAAAAAATAAATAACTCCATTAAAAAGTAATCAAAAGATATGAACAATTTTCTAAAAAATACATACAAGTGGCCAAAGAGACACATGAAAAAATACTCAACATCACTAATCATCACAGAAATGTAAATCAAAACCACAATAAGATACCATCTCACACCAGTCAGAACGGCTATTGTTAAAAAGCCAAAAAAACAACAAATGTTGGTGAGGCTTCCAACAAAAGGTAACATTTATACACTGTTGGTGGGAATGTAAATCAGTTCAGTCACTGCAGAAAGCACTTTGGAGATTTCTCAAAGAACGTGAAACAGAACTACCATCCAATCCAGCAATCCCATTACTGTGTATATATTGAAAAGAAAACAAATTGTTCTGTTGCAGCTTTCTTACTCCTGTCGTTTGGTGAGCAGGAGGGAGTGGTGCCCAGCAGCTTCTTCACTCCCATAGTTTGGCGAGTGAGAGGAAGTGTTATAGCTCTTTCATTTCTGCAGTTCCATGAGTTCCAAGTTCTTCTCTTGAGACCAAGAGGAATGAGGTACATGGACACTGGAGAGTAAGTAAGTCTCATTAAAATTTATTGAGTGAAAGAAACACTCTCAACAGTGAGAGGGGACCCAAAAGTGGGTAGCCTTATGTGAGGCTGAGTCTGGGCTTTTTATGGGCTTAGACTGGGGAATGCATGCTGATTGTTTTATTGGTGGGCTTGGAAAAGACACCATTCGGTTGGTTAAAAGGCATCATTCAGAAGGAATCAATCAAGAGCATGGGTAAGGTGGGGATGGGAGTTCTCCCTCTGTCAGTGGATTCTGTCTGGAACTAGCAGCTTGGCTTTCAGGCTTTAGACTGTCCTGGGCTTGAAGGTGGAGTTTCACCTGGACCCAACCCTGTCAGCCTAGGAATTTGTCTGTCTCCTGTTGTTATCCATTCTACCAAAAGGACATATACATTTGTAAGTTGAATACAGAGCAATTAACAATAGCAAATACATGGAATCAACCGAGGTGTCCATCAACAGTTGACTGGATGTGGCAAATATACACTATGTATCACCAAGAAAATGTGGTGTATATACACCATGGAATACTACACAGTCTTAGAAAAAAATGAAATCATGTCCTTTGCAGTAACATGAATACAGCTGAAGGACATAATCCTAGGTAAATTGATGCTGGAACAGAAAACCAAATACCGCATATTTTCACTTATAAGCCAGAGCTAAACATTGGACACTTGTGGACATATAGATGGGAACAATAGACACTGGAGACTATTAGAGTGGGGAGGAAAGAGTGGGGCAAGGATTGGAAAACTAACAGTTCTGTACCATGCTCACTACCTGGGTGATGAGATAATTTGTATCCTAAGTCTCAGCATCACACAATATACCCATGTAACAAACTTAGACATGAGCCCCTCAAATGTAATAAAAACTGAAAACATATTGAATGAACTGGAAAGAGGACCCAGAGTCTCAGGTGGAACCACAGACCTGACCAAGAAATTGATTTCTGCCTGAGAAGACCCTGAGCAGCAGGCCCATTTTATCTTTACCTGCACTCATAACCCATGGCAATTCTGAAATAATAAATTTATGCTGTTTAAGTTGTTAAAACAAAAAAGCCCAAACCCCCACAAATGTATATCAGGATAATAAGGAGAGATTAGAACTCTGACATACAGTTGGATAGCAAGTTTTATATTTCTAAAAGGAAAAATGAACTAGTGGAGAATGAGGAATAGCTCTGCCATAATGACCCCCCAAAAAATAAGGCCTTAGAATGTCAGGTTGTGACGCCGATCTCTGTAAAAGAAGTTGTTGCTTGAGTAGCCCTGCGTTTTGTTCTTCATCCTGACTTTTTAGAAGCAAATTTGGGTGGTTTAGAAATATAAACATAGTGTTAACACAATTTTCAATACAAGCAGATCATACTTTACTTTCAGAATGTAAATTTATGAAAGAGTACGTATCCCATCTACCTTTACTCAGATCCATTCTAAGTTACTAGGAAAGTGAACCATGGTAAATTTGCATGAATAACAATGCTTTCTGTGTTTGAATTAGTCCATCTTCCTACAAGCATTACCACAACTATATTTTACTTCTCAGAGTCAACTTGTACATACTAATTGAATTGTGCACCCTTGTAGTTGGATTATCACATCCCGAATAAACTCACTCATCAGCAATCACCTTTATCTCCCACTTGCCTTTATGCAGTTAACTTAGCAAGAGTCACCTGGGGCAAACAAATTTCCATTGTTGTCTTTAACAAGAATATAATGTAGAACAAGTAAGCTATGGAAGCACCAATCTAGACAAACAGTGAGCTTTTAAAAATGTTTAACCAGGCCCAAATGGGATGCAATTTAGAACTCTGCTGGTCACCTTTGAGTGAGGGTCCCATACAATTTAGCTGAACAGTTCTTCTTATCTGGTTTATCAACTATAGACATTAAAAGCTTGATTTAAGTTGCTATATACAAAGTCAAAGAATTTAATGTTAGTGAAAAGAGCTGGAAGCAAAGAAAACTTTCAAATCATATTATCAATCAATGGTTTAATAAGACAATATGGTATTGCCAAAGCTCAGACTTTGTGTCAGAAAATGTATACTGCCTCATCTTTTCATTATGATTAGGGCAGGAAAATCTTTTGTCAGAGAGAGTTCACCCTACTAACATAAAAGAATGTGTAAATGAGTACCCATCAAGGAGTAGAGTTAGGGTAAGAAAACAGACCATTGAAACAAAACATTATTAACTATCAAATTATGTGAAATGATGACAAACAGGATTATATTAAGACACTAGTTTAAAATTCTAAATATAATTGCATTTTCAAAATTTTAAACACTTTTTAGGTAAACTGTTCATCAGTATTCTATGGCCATGAAAAAGAAATGAAGTATTTACTTTTTTCTGAGAATTTGTATATTTCACATGAAATCTAGTTTGAGGAATATGTATATGTATAAAGTACTCTGCAAAATAACATCCAACACTAACAAGCATACTTCCAACTTAACATATATGTATGTACACTCATTTGTGAGTTCCTCCAGTGACTAAACTTAGCCCAATTTTAAGCATATTGTGAATGAACATTGTGTCATCTTTCATAATATTGGCGCACATATAGGAGAAAATATGCTTAGTAATTAGAGTCCATACAAGGGGTAAAACATCACCCTGTTACATCAGACCTCTTAGTGTGTGAAAGAGTTACCTTTTGATACTGTTTTCTGAGCTAGGACTTTTACATGTGACCATTTATAACAGGACCCTATTTATAATAGGGACAACAATATCCACTACAGTTTTACTGCCTCACATATGTCTTGGTGATTGCTTTGTTGACTGCTTCTTTTACATCCTTATTTCTCAGACTGTAGATCATGGGATTCAACATAGGAATTACTGTGGTGTAAAACACAGCCACCATTTTGCCCTGCTCTACGGATTCCTCAGTGGGTCTCCTGAGATACATGAAGATGGGGGTCCCATAAAACATAGAAACAGCCGTCAAGTGGGACCCACAGGTGGAGAACGCCTTCCTCCTGCCATCGGCAGAGCGCATGCGTAGCACAGCTACTACAATGAGAGTGTAGGAGATGAGGACCACCGAGAGGGAATATGTGAAGTTAATTCCAGCAATAACAATCATTGTGATTTCTTTGATGTGCACTCTCCCACAGGCAATCTGGATGAGAGGGGGATCTGCACAATAGAAGTGATTGATTTCAAAGTTTCCACAGAAGTATAAGCCATAAGTCCATAGTGTGCATATTAGGCTGACAGAGAATCCATAGACATAAGGCACAGAGATGAGCCGAACACACACAGTCCTAGACATTTTACTGCCATAAAGCAGAGGGTTGCAGCCGGCCATGTACCTGTCAAAGGCCATCACAGCCAGGATATAGACCTCCACGTGGACAACGGCAATGAAAAAGTAGCACTGCACCAAGCATCCCACATAGGAAATGGTTTTTGTCTCTGATAATAAGTTTTCCAGCATTTTGGGGGTAACGTTGGAGGAGAAGCACACGTCCGCAAAAGACAGATGACTCAGGAAAAAGTACATGGGACTCTGAAGCTGAGGACTGATGCTAATCAAAATGATCATACCAATATTTCCCAACAGAGTGATCATGTAAACCGCTAGGAACACCACAAAAAAGAGAACCTGTAGCTCCTGACGACAGGTCAGCCCCAGGAGAGTAAATTCTGTCACATCCGTGAAATTAGGCATTGCCTTAGTATAGGCCAAGTCTGTGTTGCCTATGGAGAAATTGTTTCAAAAGGAAAGTAAATGAATTTGTTTTATTCTTGAAACTGAGTTGCGTTTGTCCTTATTTTAATTCAAATAATTTAAAAACAATGTACACTTTGCAAAAATGTACAATACAGGGTTTAAATATACTATACATAAAATGAACTGAATATATAACATAATAGACATTGCAGTTTTAGTTCTGATCCAACTTTCCTTTGCTATAGATGTCCATGATTGTAGTTTCACTTTTTTGGCTCATTATAAATGTCAAACTAGGTAAAGAGCTGCAGATGCTGTGGTCAGAGATTTTCCTATGTAAAAATTTCTGATCTCTACTGGTTTCCTGTTACTAACAGAATTTGACTTGGGTTAGTGTTACTACTGTATTAAGTATAAAATATATGAAATAAAGCATCAAGGCATCTAAGAAACATAAACTAACACTACATTTTGTTTCAGTCACAGTGTGATGTACTTTTCTTATTTTACACAAAATCATTAGCGCTTTAGCATTTAGGTTGCTGCAAAAGTTATTGTGGGTTTTGCCGTTACTTTCAATGGCAAAAATGCAATTACTTTTGTACCAGCCTAATATTAGTTTGTTTTGTTTACCTTGAAACTCCTTAAACTGTCTTGCTTAGTAGTTACATTTAACAGAAATTTAGAAATAGTTATACATATGATTTCTACATGCCCTGATCTCTAGATCCACTAAACATAGTACAATAATCCAGTATAATTAAAACTCTCTAAGAAATATTTTTCTAGAGGCAACAGTCCCAGCCTTGTAATACTTATAAGAATAGCTGTTATTGAATGTTCAGGAAAACTCTTCTACGCAAATGTCCTGTAAAACAGGTTTTATTTGCATGACCATTTTACAAATGAGGAAGCTAAACACTGAGAGATTAAGAAAGTCTCCCTGGGTCAGAGGTCTACTAATTAGCAGAATTGGGATGCAAACAAAATCATTTTAGTGTTGTGTCTTTAACAATCTTCTATTGCTGCATCTTTGACAGCCTCTTCTACCATTATATTTCTTTTCATTTGAAATTCAGTTTGCTCATCCTCCACAATATGTGGAAGTTATCTCTTTCATAGTTCATCTTTAATGGACTTTTAAGAGCTTTGGTTACCCCAGAGCAGCCTAAACCACTGAGATAGTAAATCACTGCAACTCTCTACTTGTCCAAGTTTATCATCCCAGGATCAGATGATAATGATTTCTGGGAGAAAATTAATTTAATACCTAAATGTGTATCATCTATCAAAATAATCAAGAAGATTGAATTTGTAATCGACAAATAAAACCCAAAATTCATTTCTATTAACACTTCAGGAATTTTTCATGAAGAAAACCAGTGAAGGCATAAATTACTGGACCAATCATGCCAACTGACCCTATATCCCCAACTCCATTCATACATATATTTAAACAATATTATGAAAGTTAATAGTTTTTGTCTGTAAAAGAGAATGAGAGGACAAAAAATGAGAAATGAGGAGTTTTGCAAATCTTCATTATAATAAGCTCATTCTTACAAAGTTTTCAACAAACCAGGGATAGAAATACAAAAAGTTCCCAATAATATAATTTCATACAAGAAGACACTCTGATAACAAAATAAGTCTGTGAATAAGGTATTAGTTGCCTCTTCAAGACAGAGAGTGAAATTAAAATATTTGACTACATCAATCTCTATTGTAATGAGTGAAAAACTTGCAGACCTACCTTCAGCATAGAGAGTAGAAAATGATAACTTCTCACTATTTATAATAATGTCTTAAACATTAGGAACACTGGGATCATCTCCCTAAAGGACGATTCAGGTAATTATGAAAAAAATAATAAGTAAAATTCTAGACACAGCTCAGGTATAGGAGCAGTTAAGGAGTGTGGATGAGAAGAAGATTTTTTAAATAAAATAGATCAAAATTCTTGATCAATAATATAATCTTATCTCTCACTTTCACATGGGTTCTGTCTTCTTTTATTTACATATTGACAATTATGCATTTCAGCAAAATATTGGCCTGCATCATATAAAATTTCAGTGAGTCCCTTTCTTTCTGGTTGGACAATTGTTCTAAAAAGTGCCGTCTGTCAGGATAGATGATCATAGGAATGCACGTCCTATGCATCTCATGGTTGTGTTACAATGTCAGATGCCTCAAAGAATAAATCATTGGTAAAATGAGTACAAGTAGAAGTTATTACTGAAGTCAGTCAGGTCTGGGATTATACCTTTGGTATACCACTTTCACTATGCCACCTTGGACAAGCAATGTACTTCAGAGCCTCAGTGTACTCATCTGCAGAATAGGGAAATGACTATCTTACATTTTGGTTGAGATGATCTTAGAATGATATAGGGATAACTCTCTTCCCAATGGCTGTTGCATGTGAAGCACACAAAAAGTTGTCATTATTTGTGCAGTTTTACCTCTAAACAGTTTACTAGTATTATCTTACTACTTCTTTAGTATTCTAATATTATCCTTACCTTGAAGAATAAAAGTATTCCTATGTGAAATAAGTATGATGTACCAGGCTTGGTGGCTCACACCTGTAATCCCAGCACTTTGGGAGGCCAACGCGGGTAGAACATCTGAGGTCAGGAGTTCAAGACCAGCCCGGCCAACATGGTGGTACCCCGTCTCTACAATAATACAAAAATTACCTGGGCATGATGTCGGGTGCCTGTAATCCCAGCCACTCGGGAGGCTGAGGCAAGAGAATCGCTTGAACCTGGGAGGCAGAGGTAGTAGTGAGTCGAGACAGTGCCACTGCACTCCAGCCTGGGCAAGAGAGTAAGACTCCATCTCAAGAAAAAAAAAAAAAGAGAAGTATGATTTTAAGTCTTTCCTTTTTTAATTTTAGGGTTGGGGTACATATGCAGGTTTGTTACACAGACAAAGTGGCTTGATGTACAGATTATTTCATCACCAGGTAACAAACATAGCACCTAATAGGTATTTTAGGTATTTTTTTGCTCCTCTCCCTCCCCTCACCCCTATTCTCAAGTAGGCCGTGGTTATGTTGTTGTTGTTCCCTGCTATGTGTCCATGTATTCTTGTTGTTTAGCTCCCACTTATAAGTGAGAACATGCAGTATTGGCAAGTTTACATACTATCAAGCCAAAGAACATGGATACATGGATGCAAACTTAAATTATTTAAACTCTAAAGCATATACTTCCTCAATTTAGTCTGAAAAATCAACAACAGAATTGTGTTTGGGCAAAGTTTTTTCCAGTGTCAAAGTACCCAGAATTTATTAATTTCTTCTCACCAGTTATTGAGAAAGTCTATTAGATGAGTTTGACATTAGGGAATTTTGACTTCATATGCAATATCTCAAGAAAATGTAGATTGGAAAAGAAGAAAGAGTGTGTGTGTGTGTGTGTGTGTGTGTGTGTGTGTGTGTGTGTGAGAGAGAGAGAGAGACAGAGAGAGACAGGAAGAAAAAAATACAGAAGAGAAATAGAGAAAGAGATAACTTGGCTTCATGCTTAGACGTTGGAAATGCTTAAATATGATTAAGCTCACAGATGTAGAAATAAGTGTGACAATACTATCTATTTTTAAAAGTACTTTACAGAAATATCTTGAAATTCAGATGGGAAAATTGCTTTAAGCTCTGCCAAAAAATCGAGACTCATGAAAATTATTAGGCAGAAAATACATAGGGATCAGAGTTTACAACCTTAAAAGTAACTGGATGGGTGAAAAAAGTGACTTGTCCAAGGTCATCCACAAATTCACTTGAAATTTGGAAACTCAAACCAGAAACATGGTTTGACCACTGACCTGGAGTCATCATTCTTTATGTAACACTAAACTAACCCTCAAAAGAATAAACAGAAACACATTTCGCCTTTGAAAAAGAGAGGTAACAAAGATGGTTCAAATTTACCTGCCAATAAGCTGCAGGTGATAAAATGCTTTCAAAACACATTTTGAAATTTATTAATAACAAGAAAATAATTTGGCATATCAAGGGTTCCCCAAAAATGGCAAATAAATGTTTTTATTGACAAAATAAATTACTTTCAACTTCGGAGTAATCCCAAAAGAAGTTGTGTACCTTAGATATTAAAAGTCTCTAGAGGTTCGACATCTTTCAACCATGCTGCCCATGATTTATGTGTATGTATGTCGAAATGAGTTCATTTCACTTATAGGTTCTCTTGAGGTAAATAAAATTCAATATTGGACAAAGAAGAATGCTTTTTTACACTTTCATCAATAGCAGATAAACATTTCTTTTTCTTCACAACCTTGCCAGCATCTAATTTTTTTGGCTTTTTGATAATAGCCATTCTGACTGGTGTGAGAAGGTATCTCGTAGTTTTGATTTCCATTTTGTTAATCATCAGTGATGTTGAGCTTTTTCTTATGATTCTTGGCCTCATGTATCTTGGTTTAACCATTGTGGAAGACAGTGTGGGGATTACTCAAAGACCTCAGAACAGAAATATCCAGCAATTCCATGCCTGGGTATATGCCCAAGTGAATATAAATTGTTCTACTATAAAGACAAATGTACATGTATATTCACTGCAGCACTATTCACAATACAGGTAATCAACCTAAAAGCCCATTGGTGATAAACTGGATAAAGAAAATGCACATATACATCATGGAATACTAGGCAGCCATAAGGAAAAAAACGAGATCTTGTCCTTTGCAAGAAGATAGACGGAGATAGAGACCATTATCTTTAGCAAACTAATGCAGGAACAGAAAACCAAATACCTCATGTTCTCACTTAGAAGTGTGAGCTAAATGTTGAGAGTACAAGGACACATAGAGGGGAGCAACACACATTGAGGCCTATGAAAGGGTGGAGATTGGGAGGAGGGGGAGGATCAGGATAATAATTAATGGGTACTAGGCTTAGTACTTGGGTGATGAAATATTCTGTACCACAAACCTCTATAACACAAGTTTACCTATAGAACAAACCTGCACTCCTACCCTTGAACTTAAAATAAAAGTTAAATAAAAAAAGAATGCTTTTCTCTCAGATGACACCAATCTTGCTTTATATTCACATCTTTGCAGATAATTTTAATTATTTAAATGTATAATATAAAATGTATAAATTACATTTCTTTAGCTATATATTGTTTGCCTCAAAACAGAAGGTGATTATTTATTTATTTGGGCTGAGGACGTAGACTTGATGAAATAAGTTAAGTTGTAGCTTCATCCTTATGCTTCACGAAATATGGTGCAAGAGAGATGTGAAATTATGTTCCCATTATTATGTCATAAAATGTTATTGATAACAACAAATAGTGCATGCTAAATACTGAATTTATTTTAAATGCAAAAGTTAACTAGAATATGTAAGTGCCATGTCTTGGTCACAGGTGTACCAAATATCCCACATGAGTAGAATGTAATTTATTCTGTGGAATTTGGAGAGCAATGGTTTTACAATGACAGCTTCTTCCACTAATTCTTCAACTCCTCAGTCAGAGTGAAGACACCAGCAGGGGCAAACCACAGTCTGGTGACTGGCAATCATAGAGTAGAAACACAGCAGTTCCTGGGGTCTGTGAAACAGAGACACTTACCATGTTGTGTTTCTTAAGAAACACCAAAAATTTAAAAATCATGAAATACAATAGTATTGCTATTTTCAAAGTAGCAGTCTCTGAACAGACCCTACCCAACATAATGAAAGACGCATTAAACAATAAATAATCTCATAACAATTAGAGAGACCAATATTTTATGTCTTCATGTTGGAAAACCAAATTAAATATCATGGGTTTTTTTTTTCTGCCCCACATTTGTTTTTAAGTGGGCAAATAAATATTTCTTAAATTCATGCACCTGCACTTTTCAATAAGAAAACGTCTTTTGGTTGCAGCTATTTGAGCAATTTCCCTTAGTACACCTATGAACTTTGGCACACATCACAGTTTCAATTAACTTATTTGTATGTAATTAATCTCCATACTCACATCAACAGAAATGAATCATTCCTCCTTATATTTTCTCAATTTGTACCACTTTTATTTTTCTTTTCAACCCACAGAATATCTTTATCTTAATGTTCCTAGGTACTGGGTAATAAACTTTTTCCAAACAAATAATAGAAGATAAAATTAAATCAAATTTGATTTTATTTTGTTTAACATGATCTGCTGATCACTTTCATCATGGCCTTTTTCACATCCTTGTTCCTCAGACTGTAGATCATGGGATTCAACATGGGGATCACTGTGGTATAGAACACAGCCACCATCTTCCCCTGCTCCACAGACTCCTCTGTGGGACGTCTGAGATACATGAAGATCAGAGTACCATAGAATATAATGACAGCTGTCAGATGGGACCCACATGTGGAAAAGGCCTTCTGCCTTCCTTCTGCTGAGCGCATTCGCAGAATGGCAATGAGGATGAATAAGTAAGAGATGATAATTACAGTCAGGGAATATGTGAAGTTAATGCCGGCAAGTATGATCATTGTATATTCTTTTACAAAGGTCCCAGCACAGGCCATTTTGATGAGAGGTGGATCTGCACAGTAGAAATGGTTGATCTCAATTTTTCCACAGAAGTACAAGCCGTAAGTCCATAATGTTGCTGCCAGACTCGTCAGAAAACCATAAATGTAAGGGAAAGTAATCAGTCGAATACAGACAACCCTTGACATTTTACTGCCATAAAGCAGAGGATTCCCAATTGCCATGTATCTATCAAAGGCCATCGCAGCAAGAATAAAAATTTCCACATGGACAAGAGCAATGAAGAAGAAACACTGTACTAAACAACCAGCATAAGTAATTGTTTTTTTATCTGATAACAGGTTTTCCAACATTTTAGGGGTGACATTGGAAGAAAACCACACATCAACAAATGACAAGTGACTGAGGAAAAAGTACATGGGGTTGTTAAGCTGAGGACTGACCTTGATTAACACCATCATGCCGATATTGCCCACCATGGTGATGATGTAGACCACAAGAAAGATGATGAAGAAGAGAACTTGCCATTCTCGACGGCTCGTTAGCCCCAAAAGAATGAACTCTGTCACATCGGTGAAATTGAGCATTTTCTGAATTCTAAGTCAATATCAGTTACAAAACTTTTTGATAACTAAAATAAAATAAAGGAAATATTAGAATATTTATTTATTAATTTATACCTTCAGATGCTCCCTTTATACAATATCTATTAGCACACTTTGCATTCTTTTCACAGATCTTTTCTCAGTGCCTGTTATGTAACAGGCTCTGTGATGAATAAATGTAGACAGTCCCTATTATATAACAATTATACAAAGTTTAGTGACTGAAATACACTGGTAGTAAGTAATGTGAGTAGTCATATTTCCAAGATTATTTCATTACTTCTTAAATATCCCTCATTTCCAATGATGGCATGTTTGGAGTTTTATATTTTAAAGATAATTACAATGGATTATAGTTATTTTCGTAATAGAACTTAAAAAGTGTACATTTTTACCTAATCTCTTTTTCATTGTAAGCATATTCTCAATGATTAGAGAAAAAAATCATATGATGAAATAATTCATCAGCCTAAAATGTTATAAAAATGTTTTTAATCTAATCTTATATTTGCATTATTTTCAACTGAAGAACAAAAAAAAGATGATAGTAGCCATCAAAGTCAAGTTAAAGGGTGAATTATTGGTCCATGTTCACACTATATAAACATTTCCTGGATATGGACTCCCAACTCTAACATGAAATTATAATCCACTAGATATCATATACTGCTGTGTTCTAGAGATTCAAAAATAGGTAAAACATACAGATTAATGTCAGTATTTATGAAGATACTAATGTAAACAAATACTTTTTAAAACTTGAATGTATTCTCATAGAGGTATAATAGGGACAGAAATTTAGGAAGTGATTTATTCTTCTTTGAGGGTTCAGTGGAATTCTAGGAAGGTTTCTTGTATATTTTGCAAATTTATTTTCAAATATAAGATGTATCATATAGGAAACTTCTTCTAGAAAATGCTTCTCAAATTATATTTCTAAGAAAACATTAGTGCTTGGCATGATCTTACTAGATATAATGGAGAATAATCCACAAATTTTTCTCCATCAAATGGGACATCTTTGTGTCCTGTCAAATCTCTTAGTGATTCACAATCTACCTAGTAAAGTTATTTACTGTACACATCATTCATTTAACATAGAAATTTACACTCACACGCACACACACCTCTATTTATGTATATACATATGTATATATATACACACACATATGTATATAAACATACATAAAGCTTATGTATATTTCTCTCATATATGTATGAGAAATTCCATTAATTGGATATTTTGTCAATGAGCATTCACATTCTGCAGAACAGAGTGCAAATCTATCTAATAAGAATCTTGAGATAGCCTTTCAGCAGGAAATACATTTGTTGGAGATGCGATTGTGTCAAACCTTCTAATGGCTATATGTTATCTCTAGAGCAAACAATTATTCCCAAGACCCTTCTTGTAATCTGCAATGTTAAACTGTATTCAATCACAATTTGATGAAATTTATCCATATTATTACTGGTTAGCAGTTACCCAGAAAATTAGCAGTCAGGAAGGTAAATCACAATGGATAGTGAAAATAAGTGAACATTTATCCATAGTAATAATCCAAAACTTTTCAACCACAAACTTGGAAAGAACATTTTTCTATGACTAGAGGAGAAAATTACTAATTGAAACAGATTGCATTCTACATGGCCCCAGAGGTTTGGTCTAATTAATAAAAATTTGAAGGATTAATTAGTGGGTACATTTTTAAAAATGAATAATAGTTAAAGTTCTAAAAACTGTGTATACTGCCTTAGAATATATTTATATATAGACTGTAAAATCTGTTACAGAGTTGTTAAAATCTCTAAGATCCTTAGATTTATATCCAAACGGAGATTACAGACATGTCAACAGATAACTCCAGATTTCTGGTTCAACAGTTTATGTCTGTGGCTGCCTGAAATGTTCTTGCTGGCAATAGAGGGATTCTTATTTGGAAAGTCATATCTCATTTTGTAGTGACGGGTGATTCAGCACAAACAAGGATGTAGAAGATGGCATTGTTAGTACTCCCCTCAAGCTAAATACCAAGAGCCCTGAGTGACGGTTATCCAGGTGATAAATAGCAATAGTAAAATTACAGGAAACTAGGGGTTAGATTTCATCCTAGGGGGTGCGAAGTGTACAAAGAAATAGAGATTAGGGGACCTCAAGAGTATTTAGAGAATTTCCTCACCACCTAAATTTAAAAATACACACATGACCTTCCCTTATTGAATTACTTTATTTCAAATTAAAATGCCCATAAATATGGATTCTTTTCCAGATCAGGTATGAAGCAATATTAAGTATCCTAGTTAAAGTGTTCTGTTTCTATCATCAGAGCTTGGTTGGATCCAGGCTCTATGATTTATTTTATAAAACTGGACATGTTTTATTCTTGTTTTGTTTTGCTTTTACTTTTTATGTTCCTCAGTAGGACTTAATGATAATATCCATTTCTTTGTGTGTTTGTGAATATGAAAAGATATATTAAGTATTAACACATAATAAATATGAAAACAATTATCAGATACACTCCATTATTCACTTGTAATTATCAAATAATATAATCCTATTGAAAATGTATCTCTCTTTTGTGTATCTCAACACATACATAACAGATAAAATCATGAATGCATTTCTATAAATCGTAAAAGAAAATAAAATCTCCAATGCAAGCTCCATCTGACAATTCCAGATAGATACATTTTTCACCAACCTGAGAATGATGAGAAATATTCCCAATGTGGTTGCAGAGTTGAAAAGCGCATGCTATATATGGGAATGGTAAACACTTTCAACCTGATGAAAGGGAAACTTGGAAAAGTCCACAGTGGAAGCCTCCCTTAACTGCTTGCCTTAGAAAGCAAGGAGCAATTAAGATTTATTTTATTTTTTCCCGTAGAAATGGCCCCATGGGAAATGAATCTCTAGAGAGAAAGCCAGCTGTTGAGTGTGTGGGTTTTTTTCATTAGAGTTTTCTACAATTTTATTTTTCCCCAAACTCCAGTTATTTCGAATGGGTTCTAGAATCAAGTAAAATGTCGGGGGCGATTTGTATCACACTAAACCTGTTTATGGGGTTACCCAAACTGTATATATCAAGTTCATGCTCTATACTTCACATTCTCTGCCGCTAGGTTTTGCAGGGAAGATAAGTCAAGTATTATTCCCTCTAATTAAAAATATAGCATATCAAAGCAGAAAAAATACATTTTCTTCAATTCCCTCATTTTATAAATAACAAAAATATTACTCCAAGTAGTAGTAATAATAATAGCAACAATAATGCATTTTTGAAGTAATACACACCAGATACTGTGCTAATTTATTGTAACTCAACCCTGAGGCAATTATTATTATTCTCATTTTATAGACCAGAAACTGAGTCTTTCAGAGGTTCAGTGATTTGGTCAATGTCACACTTTCAATGAACCAGACTCCTGATTCCAGAATTTGTACCATTAACCATCTCATCCTTTTGTCCAACAAGTAACCATTACAGGAAAAGAGACCAAATTTCTTATTTCCTAATCCTAAAAGACTCTCATTTTCGTTACATGACTGGTGTACATGATGCATTCTATTATGGTCTTTGTGGACTTAAGGGAACACAAATCTGTTTTTTGTATAGCAAAAAATTGTGGATTGCTTCAGTGTCATGTGCACTTGTCACTTTACTTGGGTGCCTGAAAATTTTCTCCCACAGCTCAAACTTGTTCCCTCTTCTGGCCTCCCCACTGCACTGCATTAACACCAGCCATGTTTACATTCCCACAAAAAAAATGTTGATTCTCACTTATGAAGTATTGGAGAAAATTGCTGGTTTCTCTACACATACATTTTTACTTCTCCATGGTAATATAATTTTGATAAAAGGGCCATTGACTGAATTGCCCCAGCCCTGCCCCAGTATTTATAACAGTATTTGGCACATGGTAGGTGTTCACAAAATATTTGTTAACTGACGAAAATGGTTAAAGTGATTGAGTTTTCAATAGATGACTAAATAGATAGGAGAGGTACACATCTAAGTATTCCTAAGTAATTCTCAGAATAATGTTGAGATGTTTCAGACACAAAATGAAGTTGTAGTTTAACGTTGAAGAACCTTGGTTAAGACTGTGAAAGTTAGAGGTCTGAGTGCATCTAGAGAGAATAATTGTTGGCATAAGAGAATAATTGTGCTATCTATTGCCAAGAGTTTACTATCCACAGAGGTCACGGGCCTCACATTATAAAGGGTAACCTGCAGTTCTCTGAACACAGACTGCTTTTCAGTTGCAAATTAAATAATTTTGATCTGTAGTAATATTGTGTTAGGTTTAATTTTTAAGGTCAGTCTCTACAAGATATTAAATAGCCTCATGTGGTTTCTCTGGGTTTTATGATGTAAATACGCTTATCAGTGACTGATAAGCTGGGGAAAGTCAACATTTTTTACATACACATTACATGCACACAGAAATATAGATAAGACTCATTCCATATAGAAAGAAAGTAAGCTTGCCTTATTCCAGTCCTAATTAAAGTCCTCTCCAAGATAGAAAGAAGGTAACTTAACTCAAGGGTTGCTTACTTGAATCATGCAAATGTTGTCTTCTCTTAAACACTTCCTGGAGGCTCCCATGTAAAATTAATAATCTCTACTCCTGCATTTTGACAGCCCTTAGCTCATATTGCTCATATTGTAGCTACCACATTTTATTACAGTTCATTTTAAGTGCATGTTTCATAATGCTAGACTATGAATAGCTTGAAACCAGACACAGTGTCTTAAACATTATTGCATTTTTGATGATTACATAATATTAAGTATTTTGCTAGATACTGTAGAAAGTCCAGTAAGGTGCATAATATTTCCCATCCTACTTGCTTACCTTGGGACTTACCCCTCACACACCCAGAGATATACACAGACCACACTGACCCACCAAACTCATCCCATGCCTCTAGCACGTACTCCAAGATGCAGCATCTTGTCTCAGGGTCCAGGGCAACTCAGACATTTTTAATTTATTAATTTTAATGATATATACATTTATAAGGTTTTGTGGTTTGACATTTGTAGGATTTTATCTGCAAAATATTTTAGAAATTTGAGATTATATTGTATATCACTAAAATTAAACAATGATATTAATAAATTAATTGAGGTCTCATGTTTTCCTAAATTGTTAAAACCAAGCTGCACCCTGACCACCTTGAACACAAGTTCTCAAGTCCTCCTGAGGGCTGTGTCACAGGCCACAGTCATTCATAATTGGCTCAGAATAAATTGTTTCAAATATTTTACGGTGTTTGACTCTTTTTGCCTTCCTGATTGAATCACTTCTTAATGGTCATACCTCTTAACACCATCACAATGAAAATTAAATTTCAACATGAGATTTGGAGTCAACATTGAAACCATAGCACACAGCCACGTGAAGATGGAGGCAGAGATTGTTATTATGTTGCCACAAGCCAAGAAATGCCTGGGGTTACCAGAAGCAAAAAGAAGAAACAAGATTCTCCTCTAGAGTTCAGAAAGGAGGATGGTCTTGTGGAAACCCTGATTTGGGGTTTCTAGCTCCAGATCTGTGCAAGAACACATTGTTGTTATCTTAAGCCATTCAGTGTTTACTTTGTTATGGCAGCTGAAGAAAACTAATACTTTACTCTTCAATTTGGAACTGTCATTTACATGAGCCTTTATTAGTCTCTTTGTCTAAAAAGCCCAGGAAGGTGGGCAGTTTTTCCTTCTCCTCTGGGACATCTTCAAACTGATCCAACCTTTCTAAGCCTCAGTAGCTCATTTTAAAATTAAACATTTTTGTAAATTTTGATTGGTCTCTGCCTACTTCTCATACCATCAGGTAGCAGTATCAGTCAGGGAATATATTTTTGTTTGTTCTCCAAGAATATCACACAATATCAACCACATGATAGACATTAAACATGTGAATGGATAAATGAAAAAAATACATTTATTATATTATAGTTGAAGAGTTAAGTAGATCTGGGATTATGTTGCTTTATAATCAACCCAACATAAAGTTTTGTTCCTGGACTCTGACAGCACCACACTTATCACTTGGTTCTAGGCTACTCCTTCCTACCCCCACTCTATTGTAAGTTATTGAAATCCTCAAATTTTCAAATAGTCTTTGAAGTATGAAGAAGTATGGCCTTCTACCTCAAATAATCCTGACTTTCAAATTTGCATATGAAATTGACATCTTTTCAAAGGACGTGATGATCATGTCCTCTTAATTTTTCCCTAATTTTATTAATGTTTTATTGTTTTATTTTGGGGATGGGGTCTCTCTGTTTCCCAGGCGGAAGTGCAGAGGCACAATACAGGTTCACTGTGGCCTCAATCTCTCAGTCTCAAGGAATTCTCCCACCCCAGCCTCCCAAGTAGCTGCAACTACAGACATGTGCCATCACTCCTGACTAGTTTTGTTGCATTTGTTTGTTTGTTTTTGTGCAGACAATATCTCACTATATTGCACAGGCTGATCTCAAACTCCTGGATTCAGTGATCCTCCTGCCTCTACCTCCCAAAGTGCTGGGATTATAGGCATGAGCCACCCTGCCTGGCAATTTTTTTTTCCAATTTTATACTCTATTTTTTCTTCAAATAACATAGAGCATTTTGGAGCTATCTTGCAAAACTGGATCACAGATTTGCCATCAGTGTCTGAAGTGGCTAAGGAATGGGAGGTAAAGCAGTGTTGTGGGGCTGAGCCTGTGTGATCTGAGGCAAGTGCCAGGTAGATAGTGTCAGAACTGAATTGAATTGTAGGAAAAGTTGATATCCACAGAGAATTGGAGAATTTAACACACACACACACACACACACATAAAAGTGTGTGTGAGTGTGTTGAAGGTAAAACAGTTTAATTTTCTTTCAGTTATTTGTGATCATGGAACATTAACATTGACTCAATAGAATTATGGTCTAGAACACAAGACGGTGTGGGCCATCTATCAGTTAATAAGATTTTAATAAATGCTCACAGGTCTCTGAAGATCATATTCCCTTTTCTCCTAAGCATAAAAATTACCACGATAAATTGTACCTCTACTGGCAAAATTATTTTAAATCCAAAGATGTCTTTATTGAACTAATGGTTAGATATTATTGGTTAATAGCAATATAACAAAATGATGATAGTCATTGTATTTATATTACTGCCTTATCCATTCCTTTAACTTTTAAAGCAGGGTTAGATGTGAGAAGAAACACCATCAGGCTTGGTCAGTACTTAGCATCTTTGGCACATCTTTGCTAGGTATTGCTTCTCTTGCTATGCAGTAATTCAGCTTGTGACCCCTAACAGTTTTGTGTCTGTTTCCAATTTTTAGATGGTTGGATAATGTGCTTTCATTAGCAACACAGAAGGAGAGTTCTAGGTCCTCAAATCATCCATGAGGGTGAGAAGAATCTTTAGATGGCTGGGTAAACAGCCAAGTAATCTGATTCCAACTCTTTCCTGATACTTGGATTTTATTTTATTTTATTTTATTTTTTCAGAGACAGGGTCTTGCTCTGTTGCTCAGGCTGAAGTGAGTGGCTGAGTGGCATAGTCACACCTCATTCCAACCTCGAACTCCTGAGCTCAAATGATCCTTCCACCTTAGCCTCCTAAAGTGCTGGGATTACAGGCATGAGCCACTGTGCCTGGCTGGATTGGAATTTTTTGACACCATGGCTTCACACTTATGAGAAATTTCCTTATGACAATGGTCCATGAAGACCACAAGTCCCCTCTTCTGACACAGATTATAATGGTGTATTTGCCTTTGCTGCTAAGACATTTTAAGATGGCCAGGTATGGTGGCTCATGCCTGTAATCCCAACCACTTTTTGAGGCAGAAGCAGTCAGATTGCTTGAGCTCTGAAGTTCAAGAGCAGCCTGGGCAATGTGTTGAAATCCTGCCTCTACCAAAAATACACAAAAATTTGCCAGGTGTGGTGGCATGCTCCTGTGGTCTCAGCTACTTGGGAGGCTGAGGGGGAAGGATTGCTTGAGCCCGGCAGGTGGAGGCTGCAGTGAGCCGAGATCGCATCACTGCACTCCAGCCTGGGTGACAGAGGGAGACCCCACCCATCTCAAAAAAAAAAAAGACATTGTAAGATATAATGTTGATCAATGGAGAAACTAAATAAGAAAATTTTAGCATACACTTGCTGATTGTTGATTTAACGTCAGCAGTGTTGACCCTTCTCTAACAACCTCTAAAGATTAAGGAATATTGTAATTTGGCTGAGGCCAT
The DNA here is from genome assembly GCF_000001405.40 of Homo sapiens. Classification (NCBI taxonomy): domain Eukaryota; kingdom Metazoa; phylum Chordata; class Mammalia; order Primates; family Hominidae; genus Homo; species Homo sapiens. The sequence continues at coordinate 56,478,767 of NC_000011.10, forward strand.
ATTAGAATCCTTCACAGTATGATGATAAGTGAAATGGAAGGAAAGTAAGAATATAGTAATTTACTTGCACTGGGGTGAGTCTCCCTGCTCATGTTGATATTTAAATACAACTAAACCTAAACATCATGATTTACAAAATAACTTTAGTGGAATGACGGTTATCAAAACAAAATAAAGCAAAAAATCAGTTTGGTTTAAACCACTATATTTTGCAAGAAGTGACACTTGCTGTTACAAGCAGGAATGAGAAAATTGCCTAAATGGCATCTATTTTTGGGTGGGGGGACAGCATCTTGCTCTGTTGCTAGGCTGGAGTGCAGTGGCACTATCTCGACTCACTGCAAGCTCCGCCTCCTGGGTTCAAGTGATTCTCCTGCGTCAGCCTCCCAAGTAGCCGGGATTACAGGCAACCACCACCATACCTGGCTAATTTTTGTATTTTTATTATGTTGACTAGGATGGTCTCGATCTCTTGACCTCGTGGTCCACCCACCTCAGTTTCCCAAAGTGCTGGGAATTGCAGGCGTGAGCCACCGTGCAAGCCTAAATGGAATCTTCTACTCTTCCCGTTTCAACCCGCTAGTTTCAGGAAGCTTAACTCAGTCAGCTACCTAACAGAAAATTAGAAATGAATTGTGCAAATGTAGCCTAAAATGTGACATCTAACCCAATGATATTATATCTCATTACTTCACAAATTTTTAATGATAGCTTAGCATTTTTATTTTCCCAATGTTTGTTTTCCTATTGCTTTTTTCAACGCCTCTTTCACATCCTTGTTCCTGAGGCCATAGATCATGGAGTTCAGCATGAGTATCACTGTGGTGTAAAACACAGCCACCATTTTCCCCTGCTCCACGGACTCGTCTGTGGGACGTCTCAAATGCATGCAGAAGAGGGTTCCATAGAAGATTGTGACAACTGTCAGGTGGGAACCACATGTGGAAAAAGCTTTTTTCCTTCCCTCTGCAGAATGGCTTCTGAGGATAGCGACAAGGATGAACATGTAGGATGTGAGAATGATCAGAAGAGACTGGACGTTGCTGTAGCCGGCTACTATGTACATGGACAGCTCCTTGCTGTACGTGTCAGAGCATGCCAGTTTGATAAGAGGAGGATCAGCACAGTAGAAATGGTTGATTTCATTTGTTCCACAGAAGGAGAGGTTGTAGGTCCTTAAGGTTTCCATCACACTGAGAAGAAAGCCATAGACATAAGGGACAATGACCAGGTGGACACAAACACCTTGGGACATTTTGCTACTGTAGAGCAATGGATTACAGATGGCCATATAGCGGTCATATGCCATGACTGCCAACATGCAGTGCTCTGCAAGGACCACAGCAATGACAACATAGCACTGCATCAAACAACCTGCATAGGAAATGGTCTTCTTCTCTGATAAGAAATTTTCTAGCATTTTGGGAGTGAAATTTGTGGAGAAACACAGATCTAGAATGGACAAACTGGAGAGAAAAAATTACATGGGAGTGTGAAGTCGAGAATCAACTTTGATTAAAATAATCATCCCCAAGTTTCCTACCACAGTGGCTATGTAGACAAAAAGGAACAGTGCCAAGAAAGCAACTCGCAGCTCTGGACGGCTTGTTAGACCCAAGAGAACAAATTCTGTCAGTTCAGTATAGTTTCTTCTGGACATTTCTTCATCTCATATGAGACGCATTGGTCTGAATATCTAAGGAGAAAGAGAAACTTTTTAAAAATCACTAAAACCCTAGTTAAATATCATGCTTTGTATAAAAAGAGCCAAAAGGCTTTAGTTATGTTATCTCAGTAGCAGTTCTGTAACTGAAGATGAACAGTTATACTATGAAGCAAGTCTAAACATTTGCAACAAGTGGTTTCCACTGAGGCTGAATTTGTAATCACAGTGTGCAATTAAGTTGGAGGCTTAATGCAAAATTATAAACGAAAGTATCCTTATGCTGTGGGAAATTTCTTTTAAAAATCTAGATAACTTATATGTTAAAGATTAAATTGTAATAGAGATTTTGAAATGCTTAGAACTTCTAATGACATGCTTACATATACATACAAAGCTACATGGAGAGGTAGAAAGGACTTTGAGGATAATGCAGGCAAAGCTCTTCATTCTGAAGACTGAGAGACTGAATCCTAGAGAGATGAAGTGACTAATCCCACTGAGATGCTTATCTCATACATCCCCATTCGGTGATCTGCTAATATACTATATATCTCACCGAGTTCAACTTACTGTCTCGGTGTATTTTTATATTTTGTTGTTTTTAGTAGTAGTGCTTTTCATTGTGATATGTATATTGGTTCTTTGTTTATAAGTTAGTTTTTGGGAACTTATGTAAATAAAGCCTTTCGTTTGAGTCTTAAACATTGATATCACGTGTTTATAAGCATTTTTTCCAATTTGCACATCCCAATTTAGCCTGTCTGTCTGTTGGGTTAAACAAGTGTATTTATGCTCCTTCATCAATATCTCAATTCTATATGAAATTTCATATGTATTATCTTTGAGGTATCAATCTATGTTTTAATTTGTTCCTATATTTTAATTTCTTGCTATTTTACAACATTCATGCTGCATAGAACCAACATTATAGTCCCCTGCTTGGCTCACATGCTCTTTTATATCTCTGTATAAAGAAGTCCTATATCAAAGAATTTCCTATTCCTCCATTATGTTAACCCTGATGTGTAGTTTAGCCATTAGGATAAAAGGAATTAACTCAATCACCCTAAGATGATTAAAAAAATGTTTTCAGGTTCTCAATCTATACTTACTCCCTGCTAATATACCCAGAATAAATTATGTGATCACTTTGATGCCATTGCCACACAACATTAAAAAGCCTTAAAAATGGGCTGGATGTGGTGGCTTATGCCTATAATCCCAGCATTTTGGGAGGCCAAGACGGGTTGATCACTTCTGGTCATGAGTTCGAGACCAGCCTGGCCAACATGGTGAAACCCTGTCTCTACTAAAAATAAAACAAATCAGCCAGGTATGGAGGTGTGCACCTGTAACCCCAGCTACTCAGGAGACTGAGGCAGGAGAATCACTTGAACACAGGAGGCAGAGGTTGTAGTGCACTGAGATCATGCCACTGCACTCCAGCCTGGGTGGCAAAGAGAGGCGAGAGTTCGTCTCAGAAACAAAGAAAGGAAGGAAGGAAGGAAGGAAGGAAGGAAGGAAGGAAGAAAGAAAGAAAGAAAGAAAAAGAAAGAAGAAAGAAAGAAAGGAAAGGAAAGGAAAGAAAGGAAAGGAAAGGAAAGGAAAGAAAAGAGAGAGAAAGAAAGAACTAAAAATGGAGAGAGATTCTTTGTTCACTAAGGGAAGGATTCAATAGCATAAAAAGGTCAGTCTTTCCTAAGTGACCCATAGAGTCAAATAAATTCCAATCAAAATTCAAACACAATTCTTGTGGAATAGCTGATTCTAATATTTATACGGAAGTATAAAATAACCGTAAGACTCAATATCTCTCAGGGCAATAAGCAGAGTTACTTATTAGATATCAAGATTTGCTGTAAAACCAGTATTCAGGACAGTGTGTTATTGACATGAAATTGGAAAAAAATATACACTTTAACTAATGTTCCAGAATAGAAAGTCCAGGAACAGCTACATGTATATAGGTGATGTGGCATATAACAAAGATGACATTTCAGATCAGGGTTGGAAAGAGGGACTATTTTAGTATTTACTATTGGCTTAATGGATTATAGATTATTTAAATGGGAAAATTATTAAATTGTGCATTTACTTTAAACAATGCACAGAAATTACTTATAATTCTAGGGAGTGGTTTAATGTGTATTCATTATATTTTGTAGCTTACAATTTATATAGACATTATGCATTTACTGAATTTATCACAAATTATCTTAAATATATAAAATATCAAATTAAGTTAAAATATCATATGTGTTAATCTGTCTCCAAATTTTGGTTAAAAACAATTTCAGTATACTAACAATTGCGTAAAATGAAATTTACATCTAATTTTTTTCCATGGGGCAATTCAGACATGAGCAAATGTCATTAGTGGAGAACTTGTCAGAAGCTGATAAAACTTATCTCTTCTGAGCAGTCTCAGGAAGTCAATACGAGTAGCACTTTATTTTTCACCTAATCTAAGAATATCAGACACATATTTTCTATTAAATTGTATGAGATCTTACAACAATTGCTAAACTCTTATTAAAGTGAAATTTTATAGTTAAAAAAACACTAATTTACTTTGTAATATGTTGTCAGCCATGCATTTGTGTATGCATGCGTGCTTATAGCAGATAATTATTGAGCATTTTTCAAGTTCCAGACATGGTGCTGGATGCTAGAAATAGAGCAGTGGACAATATAGTAGAAATAAATTTAGTTAGGTGAGTAACCAGGCTCAGAAAATTTGACATTCTGGTCCCAGCTTACAACTCATAAGCAGAAGAATCAGAAGACAAATCATATATTATAATTCTCAGAACGGTGCTCTCCTTCTGTAATATTTTACTTTCCCAGAAAGGTCTATCTCTTCCTTTGGTTCCATTGACTGGTTGGGTAATGACAGAAATTGTTTCCAAAATGTTAAAATTCAATTTATCTAATATTATTGCCTCCTTATCCTGTCCCAGGAAACAAATATGAATAAATGAGGACTTTGAGTTAGAGTTGTCTTTGAGTTACAGATGATAGTGACAAGCACTCTAACAAAGATAAGAGATGGATGAGGAAGAAGAAAGCGAGCCAGCCGAGGTATCAGTGCCGAAACTGTAAAGAATATGAAAAATCTGGGCCAAGAATCTAGAATAATGCCTATGAATTGTAACTTAATTGGCAAGAAGGAAGGCACAAGGGCTTCTTTTAACTCTCTGGTGGTGAGCAACTTCTTCAATCCAGGGTCTTGGTTTTAGTCCTGACTTAGTCTCTAAGGAGCTTTGCAAATTTGCTCAGGTTTCACTGGTCATCTGGACATGCACTTTTAGTGGAGACCATTATCGTTAACCATATTTTAATTCTAGCATTGCGGGACAATGGCAATCAGAGACAGCTAATATACAGATATAGAGCCCATGAGAAATCTGTCCACTGCTGCTGAGAGGCAAGAAACACTCAAAACAAACATTCAAATGCAGTCAATAACTTTGATGATGATGAATTTGATAATGACCCGAGAATGATTCTGTGACTACTTGTGCAGCCTAGAAAAATAGGTATGAGAATTTCATTCATCAACTTACTGTTTAAGGTCCTTGACACAAGTTAGTTATTTGATTAGAATCAGACTGATTTGATTATAATCAGACTGATTTGATTATAATCAGGCTGATTTATGTTTCAAGTATTTTGTTGAAAAAAGTAAAATAATATTCTGAAAACTAAAGTCTCACTGAGGCACAAGTATTGCTTGTAAAAAAACTAGGTCTCTAGACAAAAATAGGGCATTGGAAAAGAACCCAGAATCTTATAAAATAAGAGAACCCAAGAGAACTTAAGATCTACTCACCCAAGTTCGTTAGCTCCACATACTGAAGCTAATGGACCACTTTCACACATGTTTAATGGTCACAATAAAAAGCCTGTTTGAGCATTTATTTTACTTAGACGTCAGAAAAATTTTATGTGATTAATTAAGCTATGTAGACTTAAATTATTTTCAACTTGCCTTTTTCTTGTGGCGATTGGTGACAGTAGGCACCAAGACATTAGGCAAATGGAAAACACAAAAATAATATTACTTGAAACTAATAACAGTGAAAACATCTGCTGAAATAGCCATACTATGAAATTCCACCAGGATGTTTCAATAACACTGGTAATATCAAAAAAGTGAAAGATGAAGCTAAGTAAGCTCCCTACAGATTTTCTTTCATGGAAAATGCATTGTCTGTGCAAATTTGCCTCAAAACTACCTATTTAAACACATTGCTGTCTAAAATGTACACAATTTAACAAAGTGAATACAGACATTATTAGATACTGAAAAATAATATGCAAAAACATTTCCTTTCTTACCTGTGAAAATAAGGGTGTCTTTTTCATGACACCAAAGGTCAAATTCTGGCCAGTGCTGGAAGATATATACCCACATCACTGGCATCAGCATATATCTCAGGAGAATCCCCAAATGTGTAAGAAGAGGTAATTAGAAGTGAAATCACAGTGGAGAACATTCTCAAGGGAAATACTAATTGGTTGTACTATTTTATCTTGAATCAAGATGTTAGAAAAAAATCTATATTTTATACTTCAGTAGAGCTCAAAGCAATCACCTGTTATCCAACGAGGGTAGCACTTTATACAATACTGAAAAACAAATTTAAAATAGTCTGAGGACACTTAACTTCTCATGAAACCTGAATTCAGGTAATTGTCCTTCCCATCTCAAGAGCACTACCATATTTCCTCCATTGTTTGTCCTTTATCAAGTTCACACAAGAATATGTACTAAGTACAAACTTCAATACTATTTAATCTGAATAATAAAAATATTTTTAAAGGATTTCTTCAACAAAGGGATTTGCATTTTGATGGGATGCCTAAGATATGTAAACAAATAATACTAGGTACAAATAATTTCTGGAAAAAACATGAAATGTTTTAGAAACAGATAGATGAAACAATACAACAGGAAGAGACTGATGAAGAAACAATGAAACAGGTAGAAGAGACTGGTGACTGCCAATGATGAAAGTGACTGACAGGGACAATAATCATATGTTAAATAAATGAATAACTAACATATTTAACTTATTGTTTTGATCATGTTTCCCATGTTAAAAAACTTTCATGAAATTGAGTCCACACTGGAACTCAGCATACTTGCCTCAAAATGCAATTGAGGAAAATGTATATTAAAAATAATATTTGATATTCACAATAACTCCATGAAATGGGGTTTTGCATTTGAATAAACTGATATGGAGAGGGAACTTCTCTAAGTTTACCCAGCTAACAAAATAGTAATAAAACTAGGATTCAGGCTCAGTTCTGAATAATTACAAAGCCAAATATTTTTCCACAACTGTATTCTGTTTCAACTTGAAGAGAATGTTTTATCATCAGCTTATCACATGGCATAAATCTTAGGACGGTTGGCTATGAAAAAGTGATGCACAAGAATGTACTTTTTCAAGGATTGGATATTTCGTTGTCTCAATATATACCTGTTGTCTGATTCCCACCAAACCTCTTTTCTGTCTGAGCAACAATGAGGTCCCTTTTGTTTCCTGCACCTTAAATCATGACTCAGCCCTTCCCTTGCCTCTGTCCCAGACAGCCTAGTGTAATTCTGTTCATTTTAAAATAATTTTATTACACAGTGGTTGATTTTTCCATTATAACCTTGCTATAAAGATCAAAACTAACATTTATAAAGGTGATAAAAATTGTCAGTTGTTTCCCAAATGCTATGGATAATTATGATTGCATATCAAGGAAAATACACTGCTACAAAGATTTATTCCTCACAAATATTTCCCTTAACATCTTTTACTGTAGTTCAGCATTTATTGTTATCTGTCTCTCTGCTATGAAGAATAGGATGTAGTATGTGATCTTTCCTGTCTGCTGCCAATGAAATTACTTTCTCCAATTCTTGCTCAGTTATGATTCACGTTGCTGGGCTTTCAGTGGGCCATTTATGATAAAGAACTTGAACATGGTTTTCTTAAACTAAATGATCTATTGTTCTGCCTTGAATATATGTTAGGATGGGAGAAGCGAGTATCATGGAGAGAAATCTGTAATTGGCCATAATTACAGACAAAGGTAGAAAGTGGAAGGGATTGTTCTCACAGTTTCAAAAAAAAAATGGGCATCCTCCCTTTATAGAACACTATCTTAAGGTGGTAAAAATATAAAAACAAAAAGATGTGGTCCTTTCCTTTGAGAACTTGCTAAAATAGTGGAAGGAACAGATTTACATGCATATAATTATAGAACCATGTTATGAATGCAATAATATAATTGTGAATCTGTGGGTGAATCATCATGTGGTACCTAATGAGAAATACAAATAAAATCCTAACCCCTGAATCAATTGAACAGACTGCCTCTTGGTCAAGGAAACCTCAGAAAAACTTTAAAATCTGAGTTCCTGCCATGACAGATGGGAGATCAGACATGCCTCGTTATCTCCCCTCCCTTGCTAAACACCATTAGGCTTCCTACAATAAGGGTTAAACAGAAACCTGCCCTTGTGAGACTCGCACCACCACTGATATCTGCAAACCACCTGACACTGGACTTCTCTTTTTGCGGTTTCAACACAGCAATTGACCAGCATTCCTTCTTGATAAGAGACCACCAATAACCTAGTGGCTCTTGCCAGTCAACAGAGGCTGTGCACAGAGGGTCTTGGTGTCTTCTGATTCACCTTTTGGTGCATAGAGTCTAATCATGACACATTTAAATGTTAAGTCCCCACTCCAAAGGGAACATGGGATGCATGTTGCTTATATTAGCCTACTATTCATGCCTGTGCCTCTTCTTTGTGAATATTCATAGTTTTTTCTATAGCCTGTTGAATATGTATTATCATATATGTGTAATATATTTGGTCATCCCATTCAGCATAAATCCCTGTCTTACTCTTCATACTGTCGAAGTGTCTCTTTCCAACTTCTAGCTGGAGGATATGCTTCACAGCCTGTCAGAACGGTCACCCTACAGGCTACAACCCTTTATGAGAAAGTCCACCTTTCTAAATTTATGAATCTCATCATTCCTCAGTTGACACTACACATCCTGAATGTGTTAAAGAAACCTTGCAGGAAGAGATAATTCTTCAGCTAAGTCTATTTTCTTGAGATAGAATTTCACTCTTGTTGCCCAGGCTGGAGGGCAACAGTGCGGTCTCGGCTCACTGCAACCTCTGTCTCCTGGGTCCAAGCAATGCTCCTGCCTCAGCCTCCCAAATAGCTGGGATTACAGGTGTCCACCAGCATGCTCAGCTAATTTTTGTATTTTTAGTAGAAACAGGGTTTTACCATGTTGGCCAGGCTAGTGGCGAACTCCTGACCTCTGGTGATTCACCCACCTCAGCCTCCCAAAGTGCTGGGATTACAAACATGAGCCACTGCACCCAGCTCTTCAGCTAAGGCTGAAATGGTAAGGGTAAAGGAAAGTGTAGAAGGGAACCTGGGGCTGAATCGTAGTATAGAGCCCCATTGATATAAGTTACTCCATCTTAGAAAATGACTTCATCTTACATTTTTAAAGGCATCATGCCAACAAGGGCCAGATGTTTTGCCTAATCAAGAAAGACTGCATCCAACCAGATAAGGACATAACAAAGTCACTCTTCCACTATCAGTTCTTACTAGAGGACTCTGTGTCCATAAAAGAGCAGGATTTCAGCAGCTTGAAACAGCCACCTTAAAAGACACCATCTTGTTATCACTTGAGATAAGCATCTTGCATTTGCCACTGAAGGCTTTGCCCACAACGAAAACTCTTCTTTACAAGGTTATTGATGGACCACCAGGGCCTGAGTAGGCTATTCTTTTTGTTCATGTCACTCTCAGTGGACTGGTTCCTTAACCCATTTCCAGTCCCTTTATTCTTGATGATAAATGTTACTTTGTTTGCTGTACAATGTGTAATCTATTACATTTATAGACTGATTAAATATACTGTAATTCATGGACTGCAATACTGACTGACTTGTTGAATGACTTGAGCCTGTTTGCCCATGGCTCTGACTACTGAGTGAACAGGAAGTTTTAAGGAGAATTGCCTCCTCGGGAACCCCATGTAGCTCATGGATTTTATGATTGAAATAGCATCAAGAAAATTCTGACATTGCAGAAAAATACAAACATGCATGGACCTAGTTATCTCTGACCTTGTGCCACTCATGATAACAGCAGAAAAGTTCATTAACTGTTCCATAAAACTCTCTTTAAGACTTTTTTCTGTCTTATTTTTGTTGAATCTCCAGTTTGTTGCATATTGTCATGTAATCAAGTTGAATGAATGAAATGCCTTAAACCAATGATTGGAATCATTATCTTCAAATAACAGCTCTGCAAACAGAGCAGAATCCAATGGGAGGACAGAGAACGTCTGAGAAAAAAATATGGAAACTATAGATCATCTATTGTGTTTGACCCTATAAAGGTGCTTTACAGTTTAGTGACAGTTTGGGGAAAAGTAGCTACTATACAAAAAGAAGAGCAAAACTGGAGGCCATTGTCAACTTTATGAAAATCCAGTAACTGTGCAAGAAGAGAATTACAATCATAGTAGTATTCATATTATTAATAATTAATACTAGTGTTAGTGATGCTCAAAGTATTATAGTATACTTCAGGTATTATTAATGATACATTCATAGTAATTTTAACAGTAGATACTGATTAAGCCAAAAATTCAAATGTGATCCTACTGTGACAATGAAGAGAAAGAAGTGATCATTGTAGGGTAAGAATGAAGTGATTGGTGAAAGAATGATGGCACCTTATCTTTAATAAACAGATGTCAATAAATTATGTGCATATTTGAAAAATCAGTACAGAGGAATACAAGCATATAATTTAAAATGGGTTAATTTCCAAAGGAAATAACAAGAAAGTATTATCTATGGGGAGTTAGTGGTAAGGTAGAAGTGAGACAGGAGTTTATATATGGCTTGTAATATTATTTGACATTTAAAACTACATACATTAATCATGAGTAGGTTCAAATGGTAATTATAATAAATAATTTTAACTGAACACACATGTGTATGTAAAAGCATTAAAAATGACTACAAGAACACAAAACAAAATCTCAAATGTGATTTCTTCAAGGTTTGTGATGTTCTCATTCTATGTTATATAATTCAGCCTGTGTGAATTTGTATAATTAATATGGCATCAATCAGAATAGGCTATTTTGTGCTAGGGAAACAAGCAAACTCCACATATCATAGTAGCTTATGAAAACGTTATTTATCAGCCGTTTTGTATTGCCATTGTGAGTCGGATGAGAACAGTGTTCCATGTCTCCTGACTGGGCAGCCACTATATTAAGTCTTGCTGGTCACCATGGAAAAAATAAAAACAACAGATCCACTCAAAAATGTTCTAACAATCAATTAAGTATTCAACTGAGAAGTGACATATGTGAATTTTAATCTCATCTTCCAGAAATAGCCACATGATCTTACCTAAACCTAAGGGCATGGAGGTACAAAGCCATTCTGTGCACGGAAGACAAAGAACTTAAAATAACTGCTGAACAAGATGAATGACAACTTAAAACATAAAAGCTTTTGTGAACAAAATTGTACGTATTTGAATTTTAGAAAATAAAGTTTTTAGACTGGGCGCGGTGTTTCATGCGTGTAATCCCAGCACTTTGGGAGGCCGAGCCTGGCCAGCATGGTGAAACCCTGTCTCTACTAAAATACAAAAAATGAGTCGGGCATGGTGGTGTGCGCTTGTGTTCCCAGCTACTCGGGAGGCTGAGGCAGGAGAATTGCTTGAACCCGGGAGGCAAAGGTTGCAGTGAGCCGAGATCACACCACTGCACTCCAGCCTAAGACAGAGAGAAACTCCATCTCAAAATATAATAATAAAATAAAAATAAATAAAGTTTTGAAAACTGCAATGTTCTCCATTGATGCACTATATTTCTCAGCTAAAGAAAAAAGTCTAGGAAGGGCTTTAGAAACCAAAAGAATACTGATTTTTAAGAAAAGTATATCTTCATTGACAGCTCTTTGATTAATGCTTCTTTTACATTTTTATTTCTAAGGCTATAAATTATAAGGTTCAGCATAGGGATTACTGTGGTATAAAATACAGCTACCATTTTACCCTGTTCAACAGATTCCTTTGAGGGGGGTCTGAGATACATGAAGAAAAGGGTTGCATAGAATATAGTGACAGCTGTCAGATGGGAGCCACAGGTAGAAAAAGCTTTTTGCCTGCCCTCTGTAGAGCGAATCTTTAAAATAGCAGGGAAAATGTAAAGGTAGGAAATACATATGATGAAGAGAGAAAAAGAAAGGTTCCAGCCAGCCACAATAAACATTGACAACTCCTTGTTGTAGGTGTCAGAACAAGCCAGCTTAATCAGTGGTGGGTCCGCACAGTAGAAGTGATTAATTTCATTGGGGCCACAGAAGGCTAGGTTGTAGGTCCACATGGTCTCCATCAGGCCAGTGAGCGCTCCATACACATAAGGCACCGTGATGAGGAAGGAGCACACACTCTTGGACATTCTGCTGCCATAAAGCAGAGGGTTGCAGATGGCCATGTACCGGTCAAAGGCCATCACAGCCAGGATGTAGATCTCAACATGGACCAAGGCGATAAAAAGGTAACACTGCACAAGACAGGCAGGATAGGAAATGCTTTTCTTCTCTGAAAGGAAAATCTCCAGCATCTTTGGAGTCACATTGGAAGAGAAGCACAGATCCACGAAGGATAAGTGGCTCAGGAAAAAGTACATGGGCATGTGGAGCCAGGCGTTGGCCTGGATGAGGACAATCATGCCAAGGTTCCCTGCCACCGTGACCATGTAAATGGCCAGAAACAGCGTGAAGAGGAGAATTTGTAATTCCCGGCGACTGGTCAGTCCCAGGAGAATGAACTCAGTCACCAACGTGCAGTTTCTTCTCATAATTTCCTTCGGTGGAAGAAAGGAACTTTACATATATATTGGATTACAATACAATAGCAACATGATTATTACTATTACAGTAATGATCTTTTACCAAAAACGTCCCCTCTTTTTGGCAGTTTTCCTCATTCTATTTCTACTGAACTTTGTTTCAGGTAAACTAAATTAGGGATATTCAAAGCAGCTCTCTACCTTTTATGATACTGCCCTTTATTTTTCTTGTTTTCTTTCCATTTTCTTTCTTTTCACTCCCTTCAAATTCAGCTTCTGTTTTTCTATTCTTCTTCTCTCGTTTCTCCTCCCCTTATTCTGCCTCTCCTTTTATTTGAGAAATGTACTTTATAGGTGGACTTGCCCCAAAACATAACATTCAGAACTAAGCAATTTCTTTTTTCCCGATTATAATACTGGGCAGAGAATGCGCGTAAAGAGAGAAAAGGACAAGTATCAAAAAGCAATATTTGCCCGAGGATCTTGTTCTTTGTGAATAGTTTTCACCAATCCGATCCCTTCCTGGAGAAGCCTGAGCAAACAGGTTGGGCTCATTTGTTGCTTTCTTATTCCTCCAGGCTCAGTGCAATAGGGATTCTCCAGGCAGGGCATGATTTTTTTCCCCTTATTTTGAAAAGTGTCTGCATATTTGCCTTTTGAGGGTTGCACAGCTATTAAATTCTCTAGCCAGTAACACTCTCTTTGAATTTTTTGGAGGAAATTTTCCATTATGTGGAGTTAAGACTCATGGAAATTCTCTCCTCTTGATCTTCCACTTCTAGTTTCCACTGAGAGACCAGATTCTCTGTTTAGAAAGGAGTAGTCAGGGCAGGTGTGGTGGCAGGCGCCTGTAGTCCCAGCTACTCAGGAGGCTGAGGCAGGAGAATGGCGTGAACCCGGGAGGCGGAGCTTGCAGTGAGCCAAGACGGTGCCACTGCACTCCAGCCTGGACGACAGAGCCAGATGCTGTCTCAAAAAAAAAAAAAAAAAAAAAAAAAAAAAAAAAAAACCATAAAGGAGTAGGCAGGGGTCAGATGTTAGTCCCTGCTTGTCTTAAGTAAGTTCATGACTCAAGGTTGCAAAATATTTTTTCATCTAATTGATTACAGTGAAGTTTGAAGATCAGGCTGATGTTGCAAAGAAACACTGATTCTGTGTGGTTTGATCTGCTCAGCCTCCACACCTGCCTAGGCTGCTATCTGTTCTCTGAGCCTGGTCTTTTAACCGCACATTGATTTAGGAGCCCTAACATCCTTTCAGAATGTTCCGGTTTTGCTTAGCATAACCAGAGCTGTGTTCTGTTACTTACAACAACAACAAAAACTGTTAACACTGATATTAATGAAATGTACCTTCTATTTTTCTATATAAAAATCATCTATATTCACAAGAACAACTTATAGAAGGTTATTTTTGAATATCTGAAACAAAGATTTTATTTGTGATTTATACAACATTGAGTAAAAGCTGTGTCTACATCTATTCAATCATAGTAGTGATGTACCCTCATTCATTTTTATATATCAAGCTCCTGTCAGATTTCACCTTTGTTTCTTTGTTTAATGTTGTTTTTGCAATAATTTATATACAGTGAAATTCACATATTTAAAGTGCCCAACTTTGTGTGTTTGACAAATGCACACATCTGGTTGACATTCTTAAGTTTTAGGACTCAACCAAACAAAAAGATGAATGCTTTGATAAAAATGCAATAGGCTTAGCATAAAATCAGTTCACAGGATCTGGAGTTAGATATTTCTGAAATGCTGCTCTATTCTTTTGACATGTTCCTTATTCTGTGTTTTAGTTTTACAACTAATTTAACCAGCACTTACATGGTGTTTCTTATAATCCAAACGCTAATCTATTTTATAAGTTTTAACACATTCAACCCTCAAACCGATTCTATGACACTCTGCCTGTAATAGGTATGGATAATAGCATATTTCCCTCATGGTTAGTACAGAAGGAAATTCCACTACGAACCATAAAGCATACTGTACTGGTAGAAACATGTGCTTTGGAGTCAACTGGTTGAGATCACACTGTGATGTCAGAACTTCTGATCTGAGTAGTCTGGGTCATATTTCTTAATAACTCTGGGCTATAGTTTTTTTCTATTACTGATGAAATTAACAAACACAAAAGTGCTATTTTTAGGATTTCACAAAATGGAGTATGTAATATGCGTAGCACTGTGCCCAATGTGTGGTAAACCCTTAATAAATATTAGCTTTCATTTATATTGAGTGAAAGATCCTAGAGCATGCCTCTTATATTTTTATGCCATTAACTTCCATCCTCATTAATCAAAACTTTAACAAATAAAAGTATCTTAAATACTAACTGTCTACATTTTTCTGGTAATTGGCATTTTTCTTTCTACCTAGTCATTTAATCATCACAATCATATATCTAACTCTGAAAATACATACGATTGTATAGCAAGTAGAGTTCCAGGATTAAAAACACATGCAGAAACTTACCTATGAATAAGGGAAGAGCTGTCCTTACAAAGAATATCAATGGCTTTTCTGGTGACAAATACAGGAATAATTTATAATATTTGTATGATGACTTTATTTCCCTAAGGGATTTCACAGATATGCAAAAATGAAGCAATTACTCTGTTAGATTTTTTTTCTCACTGAATAATTTCTCTAGAGAGATGACATTTGGCACAACACAAATTTAAAATGGGAACTCACAACTCTCTGGTCCTTCTCTGCCTTATGTTTCAGTCTCAGCATTTTCCTTCTTACATTAGAAAATCCATACAATAACATTCCTGACTGCCATGGATTCTCACATTGCCTTAGGTTTACCATGTTACTTTCAACTTAATTCAACTTTTCTGATACAGTTTCTCTCCTACCAGTGTCACAAACTTTGTGTCAAAATTCTATTAGCATTTTACATTTCTTAATCTGTGTTATGGACTGGATTGTGCCTCTTCCCTCACTCTCCAAAATTCTTATGCTGAAGTTCCAGCTCCAAGCCCCACAGAGCGTGACTGTTGGAGACACGATATCGAAAGAGAACATTTAAGTAAGATAAGGTCTAGTGGGTGAGCTGTGCCCTAATCCAATATGACTTGCATCCTTATAAGAAGAGATTAGAATACAGATACACACAGAAAAAGAAAGTGTAAAGAGGTCGGGATAAGATGATCATCCACAAGATAGAAAAAGAACTCAGAATGAAACCAGTTTTGCCCACACCTTGATCTTGGACTTCTAGCCTCTAGAACTGTGAGGAAATAAATCTGCATGTTTAAGTCACCAAGTTCATGGTACTTATTTGTGGCAGCCCTAGCAAACTAATACCCTCTGTGTACTGATGGGTAAATAGAATGCTTTGATATTGGAATGAAGCTTTACTTGCTTGAAGTCTAGTACTATTTTTATTCGTTTTTAGTAACCTTTATATTGAAGTCTAATTTACACACAGAAAGTGTGCACAAAATGTAGGCGTACAGCTTCATGAATTTTTACAAAGTGAACATACTTGTATTACTTGCCTCTAAATCCTCAAGTAGAACATTAACAGTACTGCACTATCTCTCTGCTTGCCCTTTCCTAGTCACTAACCTCAAATTAACTACATCTTCACTTTTAACACTGTACATTAATTGTGTCTGCTTTTGAGTTTTCCATAATAGAAATTATACAGTGCATATTCTGTTAGGTCTAGCCTTCCAATGAACACTACATTGGTGCTAAATATTATGTTGGTGATTTTTATTCAAAATGAGGAGTGTCATGAATATGTAAATAATTCCTTCATCTCCACGGCTGTATAGTAAGTACACCAAAATTAATAAATCCTTCCTACTATTGATACACATATAGGATACTTCCAGGTGTGGCTGTTACAAAATTCAATCTTGTGCATATCTCTTCACGAACATATTCATGTATTTCTGCCTGTTAGTACTTTGGGCAGTAGTGTTGGTTTATGGAGTATAAATATGTGCAGCTTAAATTTATGCTGCCTAGTAGTTTTCCATACTGTTTATATCCATTTGCATTCCCACTAGCATTATATGAGAGGGTCAGTTGTTCCACAGTCTCTCCAATGCTTAACAATATCAGTTTTTCTGTCATTCTGCAACATACAGACACAGATATATAGGTACAGATATATAAAGATACAGATATCTTGTAATGTACACTTCCCTAATTATTATTCAGGTTGAGCACAAAGTCATAAGTTACTTGGTTCTTTAAATATGTTTTTATATAGCACCAGTTCATATTTTGCCATTTTTTTCTGCTATCAGTTTGTTTGTTTTTTAACCGGGTGATATTTTAACACCACCAATAGCCTTACTAACTTTGAAAGGTTGTTTTTTCTTTACTCTGGGTTGTGGTTTCTTTTCTGATTTGTGAAGGTGCTGATCAAGCCCATGGAGATTTACCTGTATATGCTGAAAAAAGTGTTGGCCAGATTGAGGTTGCTGGTCAGAGGTGCTTTAAGGATGTCCTGGGCCTGGAAGAGGTGGCTCTGGGCTGGATGCCAGCAGCTGCCTACTGTTTATATCAGATCCCCACACGAGAACTTCAGGAAAAAGTTGATTGAAGAACTGAAGAGACAAGAGGTAGTCCTAAAGGGTACTTCATGAAGCAGAGCATTGGGAACTTCTGTCACACAATTAGACTTATATAAGCAGTGGCCGATAACCAAGACAAACCGAAATTTGAGGTGGGTCAATCCTAAAATATTTTATTTCTGAGGTGGAGAAAAATACCACTTGTAGACAGCACAAAATCCTTTGAAAATAATAAGACCTTTCAGGCAGTTTATGATGCTATTGCATAGCAAGGCCAATGTCAGGCAGATGACAAAGTGAATTTTTGTTTTATTCTGTTTAGCAACATGGATGGCCACCTCTCTGAACTTGATGGATGAATGCCTTTCCCAGTGAACTATGGTGCCAGTTCAGAGGACTCACTGCTGCAGGACTGTAGAGATTAGGCTGCCAAGGTCTGTAGAAAATTTACTGAGGAGGAAGGAGAGAAAGGCAGCCTCTCTGCTGTAACCCTCTCCAAGACAGTCTCATGAGAGGGACTTAGCTGTTTCTTCCTCTTCCTTTCAATGTGAAAATTTATATACCTACCTATCCACTCTAAAATGCTTCAATGCTCTCCCTCTCCCTCTCCTTCCACGGTCTCCCTCTCCCTCTCCCTCCACGGTCTCCCTCTTCCTCTCCCTCTCCCTCTCTCTCCACGGTATCCCTCTGATGCCCAGCCGAGGCTGGACTGTACTGCCGCCATCTCGGCTCACTGCAACCTCCCTGCCTGATTCTCCTGCCTCAGCCTGCCGAGTGCCTGGGATTGCAGGCATGCCCCGCCACACCTGACTGGTTTTTGTATTTTTTGGTGGGTTTCGCCGTGTTGGCCGGGCTGGTCTCCAGCTCCTGACCGCGAGTGATCTGCCCGCCTCAGCCCCCCGAGGTGCCGGGATTGCAGACGGAGTCTCACTCACTCAGTGCTCAATGTTACCCAGGCTGGAGTGCAGTGGCGTCATCTCGGCTTGCTACAACCTCCACCTCCCAGCTGCCTGCCTTGGCCTCCCAAAGTGCCCAGATTGCAGCCTCTGCCCAGCCGCCACCCTGTCTGGGAAGTGAGGAGCGTCTCTGCCTGGCCGCCCATCGTCTGGGATGTGAGGAGCCCCTCTGCTCGGCCACCCAGTCTGGGAAGTGAGGAGCGCCTCTGCTTGGCCGCGACCCCGTCTGGGAACTGAGGAGTGTCTCTGCCCGACCGCCACCCCGTCTGGGAGGTGAGGACCGTCTCTGCCCGGCTGCCCTGCCTGAGAAGTCAGGAGCTCCTCCGCATGGCCGCCGCCACATCTGAGAAGTGAGGAGCCCCTCCGCCCGGCAGCCGCCACGTCTGGGAAGTGAGGAGCCCCTCCGCCTGGCAGCCGCCCCATCCGGGAAGTGAGGCGTGTCTCCACCCAGCAGCCGCCCTGTCCAGGAGGTGGGGGTCAGCCCCTGCCCGGCCAGCTGCCCCGTCCGGGAGGGAGGTGGGGGGCAGCCCCCGCCCGGCCAGCTGCCCCGTCCGGGAGGGAGGTGGGGGGCAGCCCCTACCCGGCCAGCCGCCCCATCCGGGAGGGAGGTGGGGGGCAGCCCCCGCCCAGCAGCCACCCCGCCCGGGAGGTGGGGGGCGCCTCTGCCCGGCCCCCCCGTCTGGGAAGTGAGGAGCCCCTCTGCCCGGCCGCCACCCCGTCTGGGAGGTGTACCCAACAGCTCATTGAGAATGGGCCATGATGACGATGGCAGTTTTGTCAAATAGATAAGGGGGAAATGTGGGGAAAAGAAAGAGAAATCAGATTGTTACTGTGTCTGTGTAGAAAGAAGTAGACATAGGAGACTCCATTTTGTTCTGTACTAAGAAAAATTCTTCTGCCTTGGGATGCTGTTAATCTATAACCTTACCCCCAACCCCGTGCTCTCTGAAACATGTGCTGTGTCCACTCAGGGTTAAATGGATTAAGGGCGGTGCAAGATGTGCTTTGTTAAACAGATGCTTGAAGGCAGCATGCTCGTTAAGAGTCATCACCACTCCCTAATCTCAAGTACCCAGGGACACAAACACTGCGGAAGGCCGCAGGGTCCTCTGCCTAGGAAAACCAGAGACCCTTGTTCACATGTTTATCTGCTGACCTTCCCTCCACTATTGTCCTATGACCCTGCCAAATCCCCCTCTTCGAGAAACACCCAAGAATGATCAATAAATACTAAAAAAATAAATAAATAAATAAAGGTGCTGAGAACATAAAAAAAAATGTAAAATGCTTCAATGCCTATAAAACACAGAGTCTCTCCTTCGGCCTGCAGATATGCTCGGAACTCTACATATTATATATAATTATTGCTTTATATAATCAGTCTTTGCATATATATGTACACATACATATATATACACACATATATATGGTCTTCGAATTTTAATTTTCACACTTATTTCAATGATTAAATATCTTTATTTTATAATTTGCATCAAGTAATCCTAATATCTGTAATAAGTTGAAGGTATTCATTTGTGCTTTTTATTTCTTATTTTCCTGGAAAATGTCTGTCAATTAGAAACTTATCTGCGGGATATCTTTGAAGTCTGAGTAGTTGATAATTCATTCTCTGACTTATGTTTATATTTGCTTATTCCAGTGTCATGAGGTTTCTTCTAACCTGGGCCTCTTTATGTTTTGTTTTTTGTTTGCTTGTTTTTGTTTTTGTTTATGTTTGTTTTGAGACAGAGTCTCCTTCTGTCACCCAGGCTGGAGTGCAGTGGCTCAATCTCCACTCACTGCAAGCTGCGCCTCCCAAGTTCAGGCCATTCTTCTGCCTCAGTCTCCTGAGTAGCTAAGACTACCGGCGCCCGCCACCACGCCCTGCTGATTTTTTGTACTCTTAGTAGAGACGGGGTTTCACCGTGTTAGGCAGATGGTCTCAATCTCCTGACCTCGTGATCCAACCGCCTGGGCCTCCCAAAGTGCTGGGATTTCAGGTGTGAGCCACCACGCCGGGCCTATTTCATGTTTTTTTAGCTTCAGATTTGATAGCCCATCAAAGCAGTGTAAATATAAACGCTGAATTAATATGACCGTTAATCTATTGTCATAAATTCTTAAATAAGACTTTTTAACTCCTCCATGAAACAAAGCCTAAACGGACTAGTTTCATCCTTGTTGTTGCTGTTGTTGACTCTGTCCTACTCTAGAGGTTGCAGCCCTTCAATAATCCGAATTTCCTGAGGGCATCTCTGTTCTAATTTCTCACCTTGCACACACCTCATCATTAGTCTCTCGTCTTCCTTGTATGTGATTATATCTTAAGTTCTAGGTTACCTCTAGGGGAACTATAGGCCTCCACACCCAAAAACACACATCTTCAAGATCATTACAACCACATGTTATACCTTTTGGGTTGATGTGGTTTTAGACATGCATTGAACAGATTATCTGTTAGCCTTGGGTCTCCTTAGACAGACTTTTAGGTAACATTCAATTTAGAATCCTACTGGTCATTTATTTTTCCTCTAAAAAGCCAAGAAATAAACCAGATATGGACTGTGGAAACATAAGTGTGCCTCACTGTGGACCAAAGCATTGGTGTGTTTTAGGCTGGAGATGAGGTTGGTACAGGCAGAGGAAACAGCTGAGATGACAACTGAGTGTGCAAGGGATGAGGCTTACGTTTTAGGTTGGACATGGTAAAGTGGAATGCTGACTTCCTCTGTAAGATAGGCAAAAGTATCTAGTAGAGTTTAGCAGAAGTGCTCTTTTTTAAACCTTATTACAGGCTGGGCACAGTGGCTCACCCATGTAATGCAAACTCTTTTGGAGGCCCAGGCAGATAGATCACTTGCACTCAGCAGTTCAAGACCAGTCTGGGCAACATGATGAAACCCCGTCTCTACAAAAAATACAAAAATTAGTGTGGTATGGTGGTGCACACCTGTAGTCCCAGCTACTGTGGCAGGGGTGAGGGGTGTAAGTGGGAGGATGGTTTGAAACCCTGAGATCAAGGTTGCTGTAAGCTGTGATCATGCCACTGCACTCCAGTCCATCCTGGGTGATGGAGTGAGATGCTGTTTCAAAAAAAAAAAATAGCTTAATATATGTTTAAGAAGCAGTTTAAAACTATATGCCTAACTCCTTCCAAAAAGAAAACCCAGGTCTGGTTTTAAGGGTTTTATTTTCTAAAATACAAATTAGATTTTTTTTTATTTACATTGATTCCTCACTATAGAAATTTTTACTTTGGGGTATGGGCAGTTAAAACTATATTGATATCAAACTATCTGTTAATTGATGTAAATACTCATATTTCTTTTATTCACACTTCATAAAAATTCCCTAACCCTTCAAGGAAAATGTATAATTTTGGATAAATTTGTATTGCACTAAGCTCTATGAAAAAATTATAGGCTAAATAAAATGACAGCATGACAAAAATCAATACTGATGTTTATTTAGGAAACAATTTTCTTTTGAACAGTTCTTTGGATAAAGCCTTTTTCACATCCTTGTTCCTCAGACTGTAGATCATGGGATTAACATGGGGATCACAGTGGTATAAAGTACAGCTACCATTTGTCCTTGCTCCATGGACTCTTCTGATGGAGGTCTGAGACACATGAAGAACAGAGTTGCATAGAAAATAGTAACAGCTGTCAGATGGGAGCCACAGGTAGAAAAAGCTTTTTGCCTGCCCTCTGTAGAGCGAATCCTTAAGATAGCAGGAAAAATGTAAAAGTAGGAAATAAATATGATGAAGAGAGAAAACGAAAGATTCCAGCCAGCCACAACAAACATTGACAACTCCTTGTTGTAGGTGTCAGAACAAGCCAGCTTAATCAGTGGTGGGTCTGCACAGTAGAAGTGATTAATTTCGTTGGGGCCACAGAAGGCTAGGTTGTAGGTCCACATGGTCTCCATCAGGCCAGTGAGCGCTCCATACACATAAGGCACCGTGATGAGGAAGGAACACACACTTTTGGACATTTTGCTGCCATAAAGCAGAGGGTTTCAGATGGCCATGTACTAGTCAAAGGCCATCACAGCCAGGATGTAGATCTCAACGTGTACCAAGATGATATAAAGGTAACACTGAACAAGACAGGCAGGATAGGAAATGCTTTTCTTCTCTGAAAGGAAAATCTCCAGCATCTTTGGGGTCACATTGGAAGAGAAGCACAGATCCAGGAAGGATAAGTGGCTCAGGAAAAAGTACATGGGCGTGTGGAGCCGGGCATTGGCCTGGATGAGGGCAATCATGCTAAGATTCCCTGCCACTGTGACCATGTAAATGGCCAGAAACAGCATGAAGAGGAGAATCTGTAATTCCTGGTGATTCGTCAGTCCCAGGAGAATGAACTCAGTCACCAACGTGAAGTTCCTTCTCATAATTTCCTTCAGTGGGAGAAAGGAACTTTACATATATATTGATTGCAATACAATAGCAACATGATTATTACTATTATTACCAGTAGAGTAATAATCTTCTTACCAAAAGTTTTCCCCTCTTTTCAGCAGTTTTCCTCATTTTATTTCTAATGAACTTTGTTTCAGGTAAACTAAAGTAGGGATATTCAAAGCAGCTCTCTGCCTTTTTTGATACTGCCCTTTATTTTTCTTGTTTTATGTCCCTTTGTCTTTCTTTTCATTCCCTTCTAATTCAGCTTCTGTCTCTATTCTTCTTCTCTTCTTTCTCCTTCTCTTATTCTGCCCCTCTTTATATTTGAGAAATGTACTTTATAGGTGGACTTGCCCCAAAACATAACATTTAAAACTAACCAATTTCTTTATTCCTGATTATAATTCTGGCAGAGAATGAGTTTAGAGAGAGGAAAGAACAAGATATCAAAGAACAATATTGACTGAATGATCTTGTTATTTCTGAATAGATTTCACCAGTTCAATCCCCTCTTGGAGAAGCCTGAGCAAACAAGCGGGGCTCACTTGTTGCTTTCTTCTTCCTCCAGACTCAATGCAATAGAGATTTTCCAGGCAGGGCATGATTTGTTCCCCTTATTTTGAAAAATATCTACATATTTGCGTTTCGAGGGTTGCACAGCTATTAAATTCCAGCCATTAACACTCCACTTGAATTTTTTGGAGGAAATTTTCCAATGTGTCAAGTTGAGAGTCATGGAAATTCTGTCCTCTTGATCTTCCACTTCTAGTTTCCACTGAGAGATGAGATTCTCTGTTTAGAAAGGCTTAAGCAGGGGTCAGATGCTAGCCTCTCCTTGTCTTAAGGGAGTGAGTTAATGACTCAAGTTTGACAAAATTTTTTTTCATCTAATTCATTACAGTGAGGTTTGAAGATCAGGCTGATGTTGCAAAGAAACACTGATTCTGTGTGGTTTGATCTGCTCAGCCTCCACACCTGCCTAGGCTGCTATCTGTTCTCTAAGCCTGGTCTTTTAACCGCACATTGATTTAGGAGCCCTAACATCCTTTCAGAATGTTCCGGTTTTGCTTAGCATAACCAGAGCTGTGTTCTGTTACTTACAACAACAACAAAAACTGTTAACACTGATATTAATGAAATGTACCTTCTATTTTTCTATATAAAAATCATCTATATTCACAAGAACATCTTATAGAAGGTTATTTTTGAATATCTGAAACAAAGATTTTATTTGTGATTTATACAACATCGAGTAAAAGCTGTGTCTACATCTATTCAATCATAGTAGTGATGTACCTTTGAAGGGGTGGCCTGCCCCTCCACACCTGTGGGTATTTCTAGTTGGGTGGGATGAAAGACTGAGAAAAGAAATAAGACACAGAGACAAAGTACAGAGAAACAACAATGGGCCCAGGGGACCGGCACTCAGCATATCAAGGACCTGCACCAGCCTCTGAGTTCCCTCAGTTTTTATTAATTATTATCTTCATTATTTCAGCAAAAAGGAATGTAGTAGGAGGGCAGGGTGATAATAAGAAGGTCAGCAACAAACATGTGAGCAATAGAATCTATGTCATAATTAAGTTCAAGGGAAGGTACTATGACTGGACATGCACATAAGCCAGATTTATGTTTCTCTCCACCCAAACATCTCAGTGGAGTAAAGAATAACAAGGCAGCATTGCTGCAAACGTGTCTCACCTCCCACCATAGGGCAGTTTTTATCTGATCTCAGAATTGAACAAATGTACTATCGGGTTTTATACCGAGACATTCAGTCCCCAGGGGCAGGCAGGAGACAGTGGCCTTCCTCTATCTCAACTGCAAGAGGCTTTCCTCTTTTACTAATCCTCCTCATCACAGACCCTTTACGGGTGTCGGGCTGGGGGATGGTCAGGTCTTTCTCATGCCACAAGGCCATATTTCAGACTATCACATGGGGAGAAACCTTGGACAATACCCCGCTTTCAAGGGCAGAGGTCCCTACGGCTTTCCGCAGTGCAATGTGCCCCTGGTTTCAGACCATATTTCAGACTATCACATGGGGAGAAACCTTGGACAATACTCCGCTTTCAAGGGCAGAGGTCCCTGCGGCTTTCCACAGTGCATTGTGCTCCTGGTTTATCAAGACTAGAGAATGGCGATGACTTTTACCAATGTATACTGCTTGTAAACATTTTGTTAACAAGGCATGTCCTGCACAGCCCTAGATCACTTAAACCTTGATTTCATACAACACATGTTTTTGTGAGCTCCAGGTTGGGTCAAAGTGGTTGGGTCAAAGTGGCTGGGGCAAAGCTACAAATTAACAACATCTCAGCAAAGCAATTGTTTAAAGTACAGGTCTTTTTCAAAATGGAGTCTCTTATGTCTTTCCTTTCTACACAGACACAGTAACAGTCTGATCTCTCTTTCTTTTCCCTACATACCTTCATTCATTTTTATATATCAAGCTCCTGTCAGATTTCACCTTTGTTTCTTTGTTTAATGTTTAATGTTGTTTATGCAATAATTTATATACAGTGAAATTCATATATTTAAAGTGCCCAACTTTGTGTATTTGACAAATGCACACATCCGGTTGACATTCTTAAGTTTTAGGACTAGACCAAACACAAAGATGAATGCCTTGATAAAAATATGATAGCCTTAGCATAAAATCAATTCACAGGATCTGGAGTTAGATATTTCTGAAATGCTGCTCTGTTCTTTTGACATGTTCCTTATTCTGTGTTTTAGTTTTACCACTAATTTAACCAGCACTTACATGGTGTTTCTTATAAGCCAAACACTAATCTATTTTATAAGTTTTAACACATTCAACCCTCAAACCAATTCTATGACATTTTGCCTATAATAGATATGGATAATAACATATTTCCCTCATGGTTAGTACAGAAAGAAATTCCACTACAAACCATAAAGCATACTGTACTGGTAGAAACATACGTTTGGGAGTCGACTGGTTGAGTTCACATTCTGATGTCAGAACTTCTGATCTGAGTAGTCTGGGTCATGTTTCTTAATAATTCTGGGCTATAATTTTTTTCTATTACAGATGAAATTAGCAAATACAAAAGCACTCTTTTTCGGATTTCACAAAATGGGGTATGTGATATGCATAGCACTGTGCCCAATGTGTGGCAAACCCTTAATAAATATTAGCTTTCATTTATATTGAGTGAAAGATCCTAGAGCATGCCTCTTATATTTTTATGCCATTAACTTCCATCCTCATTATTCAAGACTTTAACAAATAAAAGTACCTTAAATGCTAAGTGTCTACATTTTTCTGGTAATTGGCATTTTTCTTTCTACCTAGTCATTTAATCATCACAATCATATATCTAACTCTGAAAATACATATGATTGTACAACAAGTGTTCCAGGATTACAAACACATGCAGAAACTTATTTATGAATAAGGGAAGAGCTATCCTTACAAAGAATATCAAATGGCTTTTCTGGTGACAAATACAGGAATAATTTATAATATTTGTATGATGACTTTATTTCCCTAAGGGATTTCACAGATATGCAAAAATGAAGCAATTACTCTGTCAGATTTTTTTTCTCACTGAATAATTTCTCTAGAGATATGACATTTGGCACAACACAAATTTAAAATGGGAACTCACAACTCTCTGGTCCTTCTCTGCCTTATGTTTCATTCTCAGTATTTTCCTTCTTACATTGGAAAATCCATAAGATAACATTCATGTCTGCCATGGATTCTCACATTGCCTTAGGTTTACCATGTTACTTTCAACTTAATTCAACTTTTCTGATACAGTTTCTCTCGTACTAGTGTCACAAACTTTGTGTCAAACTTCTATTAGCCTTTCACGTTTCTTAATCTGTGTTATGGACTGGATTGTGCCCCTTCCCTCCCTCTCCAAAATTCATATGCTGAAGTTCTAACTCCAAGCACCACAGAGCATGACTGTTGGAGACACAATATCTAAAGAGAACATTTAGTAAAATAAAGCCTAATGGGTGAGCTGTGCCCTAATCCAATATAACTTGCATCCTTATAAGAAGAGATTAGAATACAGATACACACAGAAAAATAAAGTGTAAAGAGGTCGGGATAAGATGATCATCCACAAGCCAGAAAGAGAACTCAGAATGAAACCAATTTTGCCCACACCTTGATCTTGGACTTCTAGCCTCTAGAACTGTGAGGAAATAAATCTGCATGTTTAAGTCACCAAGTTCATGGTACTTATTTGTGGCAGCCCTAGCAAACTAATACCCTCTGTGTACTGATAGGTAAATAGAATGCTTTGATATTGGAATGAAGCTTTGCTTGCTTGAAGACTAGTACTATTTTTATTCGTTTTTAGTAAGCTTTATATTGAAGTCTAATTTACACACAAATAATGAGCACAAAACGTAAGTGTACAGCTTCATGAATTATGATTTTTTTTTTTTTTTTGAGTCAGAGTGTCGCTCTGTTGCCCAGGCTGGAGTGCAGTGGTGGGATCTCGGCTCACTGCAAGCTCCGCCTCCGGGTTCATGCCATTCTCCTGCCTCAGCCTCCCTAGTAGCTGGGACTACGGGTGCCCGCCACCACGCCTGGCTAATTTTTTGTATTTTTAGTAGAGACAGGGTTTCACTGTGCTGGCCAGGATGGTCTCAACCTCCTGACCTCGTGATTCACCTGCCTCGGCCTCCCAAAGTCCTGGGATTACAGGCACGAGCCACCGTGCCCGGCCTGCTTCATGAATTTTTACAAAGTGAACATACTTGTATTACTTGCTTCTAAATTCTCAAATAGAAGATTACCAGTACTCCACCATCTGTCTTCATGCCCTTTCCTAGTCAGTAACCTCAAATTAACTATATCTTTGCTTTTAACACTGTAGATTAATTGTGTCTGGTTTTGAATTTTCTGTAATAGAAATTATACAGTGCATATTTTGTTAGGTCTAGTCTCCAATGAACACTACATTGGTGCTAAATATTATGTTGGTGATTTTTATTCATGATGATGAGTGTGATGAATATGTAAATAATTCCTTCATCTGCACTGCTGTATAATAAGTACACCAAACTTTATATATAGGTTATTTCCAGATGTGGCTATTACAAAATTCAGTCTTGTGCATATCTCTTCATGAACATATTCATGCATGTCTGACTGCTGTAACTATGAGTAGAAGTGCTGGCTTATGGAGTATAAATATGTCCAGCTTAAATTTATGCTGCCTAATAGTTTTCCAAACTGGTTGTATCCATTTGTATTCTCACTAACATTATGTGAGAGATTCAATTGTTCCATAGTCCCACCAGTACTTAGCAATATCATTTTTTTCTTTTTGTCATTTAGCAACATATAGGTACAGATATATAAAAACACAAATATCTTGTAATTGTAATGTGTACTTCCCTAATGATTATTAAAGTTGAGCACAAAGTCATATGTTACTTGGTTCTTTGAATACATTTTTATATAGCACCAGTTCTCATTTTGCTGGTTTTTCTACTATCTGTTTTTTAACAAGGTGACATACATTTGTTTTATTACACTTTAAGTTCTGGGATACATGTGCAGAACCTGCAGGTTTGTTACATAGGTATATATGTGCTATGGTGGTTTGCTGCACCCATCAACCTGTAATCTACATTAAGTATTTCTCCTAGTGCTATCCCTTCCCTAGCCCCCGAACCCCTGACAAGCCCTGGTGTGTGATATTCCCCTTCCTGTGTCCATGTGTTCTCATTGTTCACACCCACTTATAAGTGAGAACAACATGCAGTGTTTTGTTTTCTGTTCCTGTGTTAGTTTGCTGAGAATGATGGTTTCCAGGTTCATCCATTTCCCTGCATAGGACATGAACTCATCCTCTTTTATGTCTGCATAGTGTGCCATGGTGTATATGTGCCATATTTTCTTTATCCAGTCTATGGTTGATGGGCATTTGTGTTGGTTTCAAGTCTTTGCTATTGTGAATAGTGCTGCAATGAACATACATGTGCATGTGTCTTTATAGTAGAATATTTATAATCTTTTGGGTATGTAACCCAGTAATGGGATTGTTGGGTCAAATGGTATTTCCGGTTCTAGATCCTCGAGGAATCACCACACTGTCTTCCACAATGGTTGAACTAATTTATACTCCCACTAACAATGTAAAAGCATTCCTGTTTCTCCACGTCCTCTCCAGCATCTGTTGTTTCCTGACTTTTTCATGATCGCCATTCTAACTGGCGTGAGATGGTATCTCATTGTGTTTTTTTGATGTGCATTTCTCTAATGACCAGTGATGATGAGGTTTTTTTCACATGTTTATTGCCCACATAAATGTCTTCTTCTGTGAAGTGTCTGTTCATATCTTTTGCCCACTTTTTGATGGGGTCGTTTGTTTATTTCCTGTAAATTTGTTTAAGTTCCTTATAGATTCTGGATGGATAGATTGCAAAAATTTTCTCCCATTTTGTAGGTTGCCTGTTCACTCTGATGATAGTTTCCTTTGCTGTGCAGAAGCTCTTTAGTTTAGTGAGATCCCATTTGCCAGTTTTGGCTTCTGTTGCCATTGCTTTTGATGTTTTAGTCATGAAGTCTTTGCCTGTTCCTATGTCCTGAATGGTATTGCCTAGGTTTTCTTCTAGGGTTTTTGTGGCTTTAGGTCTTACGTTTAAGTCTTTTATCCCTCTTGAGTTAATTTTTGTCTAAGGCATAAGGAAGGGGTCCAGCTTCAGTTTTCTGCATATGGCTAGCCAGTTTTCCCAACATCATTTATTAAACAGGGAATCCTTTATCCTATTGCTTGCTTTTGCCAGGTTTGTCAAAGATCAGATGGTTGTAGATGTGTGGCATCATTTCTGAGGCCTCTGTTCTGTTCCATTGGTCTATATATGTGTTTTGGTACCAGTATCATGCTGTTTTTGTTACTGTAGCCTTGTAGTATAGTTTGAAGTCAGGTAGTATGATGCTTCCAGCTTAGTTCTTTTTGCTTAGGATTGTCTTGGCTATATGGGTTCTTTTTCAGTTTCATATGAAATTTACAAGAGATTTTTCTAATTCTGTGAAGAAAGTCAATGGTAGCTTGACAGGGATAGCATTGAATCAATAAATTACTTTGGGCAGTTTGACCATTTTCATGATATTGATTCTTCCTATCCATGAGCATGGAATGTTTTTCCATCTGTTTGTGTCCTCTCTTATTTCCTTGAGTGGTGGTTTGTAGTTCTCCTTGAAGAGGTCCTTCACATCCCTTGTAAGTTGGATTCCTAGGCATTTTATTCTCTTTGTAGCAATTGTGAATGGGAATTCACTCATGATTTGTCTCTCTGTTTGTCTGTTATTGGTGTATAGGAATGCTTGTGATTTTTGCACATTGATTTTGTATCCTAAGACTTTGCTGAAGATGTTCATCAGCTTAAGGAGATTTGGGGCTGAGACAATGGGGTTTTCTAAATATACAGTCATGTCATCTCCAAAACAAGGAAGAAGCCAAATCCCTGGATAGATCAATAACAAGTTCTGAAATTGTGGCAATAATTAATAGCCTACCAATCAAAAAAAACCCAGGACCAGATGGAATCACAGCCGAATTCTACCAGAGGTACAAACAGGAGCTGGTACCATTCCTTCTGAAACTATTCCAAATAACAGAAAAAGAGGGACTCCTCCCTAACTCATTTTATGAGGCCAGCGTCATCCTGATATCAAAACCTGGCAGAGACACAACAAAAAAAGAAAATTTCAGGCCAGTATCCCTGATGAACATCGATGCAAATATCCTCAATAAAATACTGGCAAACCAAATCCAACAGCACATCAAAAAGCTTATCCACCACGATCAAGTTGGCTTTATCGCTGGGATGCAAGGCTAACTTAACATACCCAAGTCAATAAACATAATCCATCACATAAACAGAACGAATGACAAAATCCACATGATTATCTCAATAGATGAAGAAAAAAAGGCGTTCTATGAAATTCAACACCCCTTCATGCTGAAAACTCTCAATAAACTAGGTATTGATGGAATGTATCTCAAAATAATAAGAGCTATTTATGACAAACTCACAGCCAATATCATACTGAATGGGCAAAAGCTGGAAACATTCCCTTTGAAAAGTGACACAAGACAAGGATGCCCTCTCTCACCACTCCTATTAAACACAGTATTGGAAGATCTGGCCAGGGCAATCAGGCAAAAAAAAAATAGGGTATTCAAATAGGAAGACAGGGTGATATCTTAACACCACTACTAACCTTACCAATTTTGAAAAGCTGTTTTCCCTGTACTCTGTGTTGTGGTTTCTCTTGTGATTTGTGAAGGTGCAGCTCAAGCCCATGGAGGTTAACCTGTAGATGCTGAAAAACCTGTTGGCCAGGTTGAGGGTGCTGGTCAGGGGTGCTTTAAGGATGTGCTAGGGCTGGAAAGGGTGGCTCTGGGCTGGATGCCAGCACCTGCCTACTCTTTGTATCAGAGCCTCACACAAGAACTTCAGGAAAAATTGATTGAAGAACTGAAGAGACAAGGAGATAGTCCTAAAGGGTACTTCATGAAGCAGAGTATCGGAAACTTCTGTCACACAATTAGACTTATACATGCAATGGCCAATAACCAAGACAAACTAAAATTTGAGGCAGGTCAATCCTGAAATATTTTATTTCTGACATGGAGAAAAATATCACTTGAAGACAGCACAAAATCCTTTGAAAAGAATAAGGCCTTTCAGGCAGTTTATGAGGCTATCTTATAGCAAGGCCAATGTCAGGCAGATGACAAAGTGAATTTTTGTTTTATTCTGTTTAGCAATGCGGATGGCCACCTCTCTGAACTTGGTGGATGAGTGCCTTTCCTAGTGAACTATGGTGCCAGTTCAGAGGACTCACTGATGCAGGATTGTAGTGATTAGGCTGCCAAGGTCTGCATGAAATTTACTAAGGAAGAAGAAGAGAAAGGCTGACTCTCCAAGACCACTTAAAGCCTCATGAGAGGGACTTAGCTGTTTCTTCCTCTTCCTTTCAATGTGAAAATTTATATACCTGCCTATCCACTCTAAAAATGCTTCAATGCCTATAAAACACAGAGACTCTCCTTCAGCCTGCAGATATGCTTGGAACTCTACATATTATATATAATTATTGGTTTCTATAATCAGTCTTTGCATATATATATGTACACATACATATGTACACACATATATACATGGTCTTAGAGTTTAAATTTTCACATTTATTTTCAATGATTAAATATCTTTATTTTACAATTTGCATCAAGTAATCCTAATATCTGAAATAAATTAAAGATATTCATTTGTGCTTTTTATTTCTTATTTTCCTGGAAAATTTCTGTGAATTAGAACTTTTTCAGTGGGCTATCTTTGAAGTCTCAGTGGTTGATAACCCATTCTCTGACTTATGTTTATGTTTGCTTATTCCAGTGTCATGAAGCTTCTTCTAACCTGGGCCTCTTTATGTTCTTCATTATTTAGCTTGAGATTTGATAGCCCATCAAAGCAGTATAAATATAAATGCTGACTTAACATGAGCATTAATTATTGTCATAAATTCTTAAATAAGACTTTTTAACTCCTCCATGAAACCAAGTCTAAACGGACTAGTTTCATCCTTGTTGTTGCTGTTGTTGACTCTGTCCTACTCTAGAGGTTGTAGCCCTTCAATAATCCGAATTTCATGAGGGCATCTGTGTTCTAATTTCTCACCTTGCACACACCTCATCATTAGTCTCTCGCTTCCTTGTATGTGATTATATCTTAAGTTCTAGGTTACCTCTAGGGGAACTATAGGCCTCCACACCCAAAAACACACATCTTCAAGACTGGAAGACAGTGATCCCATGCAAATCTGTGATGATAGTATCATTACAACCACATGTTACACCTTTTGGGTTGATGTGGTTTTAGACATGCATTGAACAGATTGTCTGTTAGCCTTGGATCTCCTTAGACAGACTTTTAGGTAACATTCAATTTAGAAGTCTACTAGCCATTTATTTTTCCTCTAAAAAGCCAAGAAATAAACCAGGTATGGACTGTGGAAACATAAGTGTGCCTCACTGTGGACCAAAGTGTTGGTGTGTTTTTGGCTGGAGATGAGGTTGGTACAGGCAGAGGCAACAGCTGAGATGACAGCTGAGTGTACAAGGGATGAGGCTCATATTTTAGGTTGAATATGGTAAAGTGGAATGTTGACTTTCTTTGTAAGACACAAAAGTATTTAGTAGAGTTTAGCAGAACTGCTATTTTTCTTAAAGCTTATTATAGGCTGGGCAGAGTGGCTTACACCTGTAATTCCTAAACTTTGGGAAGCCCAGGCAGGTAGATTACTGGAGCTCAGCAATTCAAGACCAGTCTGGGCAGCATGGTGAAATCCCGTCTCTACAAAAAAAAACACAAAAATTAGTCAGGTATCATGGTGTACACCTGTAGTCCCAACTACTATGGCAGAGGTGAGGGGCTGAGGTGGGAGGATGATTTGAGCACCAGAGATCAAGATTGCAGTAAGCTGTGATCACACCGCTGCACTCAGGTCCATCCTGGGTGATGGAGTGAGATGCTGTTTTCTTTTTGTTGTTGCTGTTGTTGTTGTTGTTTTTTTTAAAAAAAGCTTAATATATGTTTAAGAAGCAGTCTAAAACTATATGCCTAACTCCTTGCAAAAAGAAAACCCAGGTCTGGTTTTAAGGATTTTTTTTCTCTAAAGTATAAATTAGATTTTTTAAAATTTACATTGATTCTTCACTATAGAGCTTCTTACTTTGGGGTATGGGCAGGCAAAACTATATTGAATTCAAAATTCCTGTTAATTGATGTAAATACTCATTTTTTCTTGTATTCACACTTCATAAAAATTCCCCAACACTTCTAGGAAAATATATAATTTTGGATATATTTGTATCAGACTATGCTCTATGAAAAATCATAGGGTAAATAAAATGACAACACAACAAAAATCAGTAGTAATGTTTATTTAGAAAACAATTTTCTTTTGAACAGTTCTTTGCATAATGCCTCTTTCACATCTTTGTTCCTCAGACTGTAGATCATGGGATTCAACATGGGGATTACAGTGGTATAAAATACAGCTACCATTTTCCCCTGCTCCATGGACTCTTCTGATGGACGTCTGAGATACATGAAGAAAAGAGCTGAATAGAAAATAGTAACGGCTGTCAGATGGGAGCCACAGGTAGAAAAAGCTTTGTGCCTGCCTTCTGTAGAGCAGATCCTTAGGGTGGCAGGAAATATGTAGAGATAGGAAATGAGGATGATAAGGAGAGGATAAGTGAAGTTGAAACCAGCCACAACAAACATTGACACCTCCTTGTTGTAGGTGTCAGAACAAGCCAGCTTAATCAGTGGTGGGTCCACACAGTAGAAGTGATTAATTTCACTGGGGCCACAGAAGGCTAGGTTGTAGGTCCACATAGTCTCCATCAGGCCAGTGAGTGCTCCATACACATAAAGCACTGTGATGAGGAAAGAGCACACGCTCTTGGACATTCTGCTGCCATAAAGCAGAGGGTTGCAGATGGCCATGTACCGGTCAAAGGCCATCACAGCCAGGATGTAGAGCTCAACGTGGACCAAGGTGATAAAAAGGTAACACTGCACAAGACGGGCAGGATAGGAAATGCTTTTCTTCTCTGAAAGGAAAATCTCCAGCATCCTTGGAGTCACATTGGAAGAGAAGCACAGATCCACAAAGGATAAGTTGCTCAGGAAAAAGTACATGGGCGTGTGGAGCCGGGGCGTTGGCCTGGATGAGGGCAATCATGCCAAGATTTCCTGCCACCGTGACCATGTAAATGGTGAGAAACAGCGTGAAGAGGAAAATCTGTAATTCCCGGTGATTGGCCAGTCCCAGGAGAATGAACTCAGTCACCAATGTACAGTTTCTTCTCATAATTTCCTTCAGTGGGAAATGAGAATGTTGGATTAGTAGATATTTTCTAAAGGGCAAACATTTTTATATTTTCTTGAAACATTGTTTTGCATTGCTCCTCTGCAGTTTTTCTAAATTTGTTTTGTGTCAGGAGACACTAGAGATAGTGATTTAATTGAAACAGGGTCTAATCTTTTCGGTTTATGTCACTTAATTTCTTACTCATATTCATTTCTACTGTGTCTATTTTTTTTTACATTTTGCTTTTTTATCTCACATCTTTATTGCTCAGATTTTGCCACTAGTGCTAATAAACAAATGAATACTCAGCACTTTTGTAAATTAATTGTTTAGATAACTTAGCTATAAGTTATCTAACTTAACTGTAAGTTGAGAACCTGGTACCTGACATTCTTTTTCTGATTACAGTTAATTCTTCCATGCCATGTCAGATAAAATCCCTTAGGTTCCTGTTATAAGGATAGGTAGTAAAAAACTAAAAATACATTTTAGCTCATTCTTTATGTGACAAACAGAATATGCTAATTTAGACTAGCTGCTACTTTTGGGGGAAAATAAAAGATAAATATTTGAGGAGGATACCAATTGAAAATTTTACAGAAAAATTTTCAAAATGTCTACTAACATGCTTCTAGTTAATTTCATAAACTTCAGAGTAGGTAATTTTTTGGAGCGACAGACCTGAATTAGAGCATGGAAATGACTTTGTCCAACATGTCTGTCTATATTTGTGCATACTGAGCATGCATAGCGAAGTGATTAGATGGCTAAGTGATCATCCAGACATCCAGACAACAGACAGATTTGACAGAGCCTGAGCCTGCACTAGAAGCTAGTACCTTTCCCTTAACCAGGTTAAGTATTTGCTCCTCAGAGCCAGAACTGATAATTATGGGACAGCTCTTAAAAATAAATAAGTTAAATAAATTTTAAAAAACAAAGCCAAAGAAAACAAAACAAAAATGACCAGAATTTCCTTTTTTTAAAATTCTAAAATTAGATTTGCTATGGCAAAAGGGTAGCTTCTGGCCAAGAGAATGTAATAAAAGAAAATTAAGCTACTTTTATCCATCCATTGATAAAACAGGTTTGCCCTTCCCTTCTTCTTTTCTGCCTCTCACTGGCTGTAATGTGGATATAGTGCTGAGCCATCCTGAATCATATAGATGAGAGTAACTCTTTATAGAAAGCAGAGAAAGAAGAGTAAATTAGTTGGAGCTCCTAAAACCTTGGCAGAGCTGATATGACATACTAGCTCAGAATTTTACATAAATGAGAAATAAACTTCTAATTTGTTTAACTGTTATTTTGTTTTGTTCTCATAGGAATTTAATCCGTTATCTAACTAATATAAATACTCTTAAGGTTGGTGCTTAATAAGATTATTGTAAACTTGACTGCTATATAAGATGAAAACATATGAAGTGATTGTTATTAGTTAGAATTAAATTAATCTGTGAGAGATTATATTCAAGGACTATGGTATGACTTATAAAATGTAAGGATAATGCTTAGATAATCCTGATGTCAGCAACTTGAGACCTTTCAAAATCATCTTAAAACTCCTATCTATTCCACGCCATTTAGAAATCTGTAATGTTTACAAGTATGCAAACACACAGACACAGATAATATTGCAACTCTGTGGAAGGCAAGTAGAAGATAGATATTTGTTGCAAAAGAGAATAAAAATTAAAATTAAAACATTAAATCTATTATATTTCTCAAATTTTCTACCTGTTGCCTAATCATAGAGGATTTGTCACCGGTTATTTTACAGCACTTAACCCAATTCATGATACCTCCCTGGTTTCTCTTAATTCTACTCCCCTCCTATTTCTCACCTCTCCTTCCTTCTCTTCTAAAATGACCTCAAAAACTGTATTTTTCTCTATATTTTTATTCTAAGTTCTTCACCTTTTGGGGTCTCCTAATCTCAAATTCTACTCTAGCTCCAACTTTGCCTAGTGAACACATTAAGGTGCTTTGACGAACTAAAAGGCTGTTCATGTAATAGGAACTATTATCTTTAGAAGGATGGTGATTTAACCTCTCTCTCTCTTCCCCTGACTATGTATATAAAGTCTCCCTGACTATGTATATTGTATGTATACACATAGACATATATAATACACACATGTGTACATGCATGCATGCATACACATGTAGTTTTTAATTATTTCAGTGTGCATGCATATGTTTTCATGAGGATTGGGTAGTTAGATGCTTTGCAATCTTTTCTTCATCTTTTTTTCTGGAGAACACTGGAACATCATCTTGCACTCTTCTATATATTCATGTCCTAACCTTACATCCCACCTTCCTTAGAAATAGTCTGCCATGTACATTTGTACTTTCCAAAACATTAAAATTATTTTGTGCTAAAATGTTTCCAACATCCTTAGTACTGGTATTCATCTCCCAAAACCAACTCAAAAGTTTTGGAACTTGCCTTATTTGACTTAAAAAATTACAACTATGCTGCATGTTAGCTCTACAATTGTAGACAGCTTACATAACTTTTTTGAGCTTTAGTTTTCTCACTTCAAAATGTTGTTGAAGGAATATCTTTTGAGGATTAAAAGTTATAATCTATGTAAAGATCTGACAACATGTGAGGCACATAAAGCCATTGCAAGAAATTTTACTTTCTTAGTCCCATTTGTTCAGTAGTTAGAACAAATACAAATTCTCAGATTGTGTGCATTGATACCTATATAACCACCCATACTCCTATGAAGTTATTTAACTATTTCTAATCATGCATCATTTCTACTGAATAAGTATTTGGCTTCTAAATATAAATAGCAACACTTTGTCTAGTTCCTAACACACACACACAAATAGACAGCCCTACCTATAAAGAAGCAGGAAAACCAATGGGCCTTCAGAGATAATAAATAAGGAAAGGTTTGCTTGTGTTTATAAAGTTGACTCCTTTTCCCTGTTGCATTAAAAAGAAATCACAAAGAAGCAGTCATTTCTGCCAATTAAATGTTCCCTGAAGACAGCTCAGTGATGTTGAACATGGATTTTAAAATGGCTTAACATCTCTTCTGTGTCCTCTTTTTCACATCTCTTGGTAATGACTTTACTTATTGCTTATCGTGTATCACTGGGCATCGTTCTACCTCACTCCCTCCATTACTTGGCAGAAAGAACTGCACTCAAAAAGGAACACCTTACTCACTCTTTTCACTTGGCCACTAATGCAGCAAAAACATGTTCTACCACACGGTATCATTACGGTGAGCATACATTCATTTGAAAAAAAAAAAAAAGTCATAGGGTATTTTTGCTCCCCTTCTTTTTCTTTGTTTATTTTGTGTTGCTTTGTTTGTAGAAAAGTCCAAGAGTAAATGAATATAATTGAAGAAATCTAGAGTGCAAATGATTAGGATAATTTTTATTATTCTTTATTTTCCTAGGCCATGATGTACCACATACAGATGTTAAAATTTGGGGTAATTAAGTATACTTAAAATAAAAAGTTTTTATAAATTCAATGTACAGAACTTTTTATGTATAATTTTATGTAAATATTAAAAATATGAAATAAATATTATTAGACCCATTATATATTGAAGGAACTGAGCCTTAGAAAGAAAATTCAATTTTCTCAAATTCAAAAAGCTGTTGAGTGAGCTCACTGAGAGAAGAAAGCAGCTTTGACTATGAATCTCCTCTCTCTAGCCACTAACATGCACTAACATGCTTCACTTGCTGTTATTTCATCTAATTTCATGATTAAACATTGATTACAATGAATCAAAATGTCTATGCTTTCCAGGTACACGGAAGCAATATCTGGTAAATTTATTACGACATTTAACTAGAAATAAAACCAAGGAAAGGCAGTTTAGTTCTACTGAGAAACCCTGTTTTCTTTTTTTTTTTTTTTTTTGAGACGAGAAATCCTGTTTTCACAAGCTAGTCCATTAGTTTTAGGCTAGTCACCCTATTTCAGTTTCCACATCGTTAAAATATATGATTGTACTACATACAGTACATCCCAGCTCACTTCCAGTTAAAAACTAAACATATATTTATGTATCTCTCTGGATTCTTTGCCCTAAAAATCCCAGCTTTTCCACAAGATCTTTGAAATGCTTTCAGGGTCATCCTCCCATTGTCTTGATAAATCCAACCTGGATTCCTTCTATTTATGTTCATCTCTGTAGCAAATGATTGTTGGAAGTAAATGTTCGGTGCTACAAAGTGAAACTAGCACTCAGGCAAAAGTTTTCTCACCAAGGCAATTTACTTCTATAGAAGGGTGCATCTCAAGGATGGAGCGATGGCGAGAGCACACCGTACAAGGGAGGGGAAGAGGTGCTTATCCTAAAGCAGCTAGTCCCTACTGCTGTCTTTCCCCTATTGGCTGGGGTTGGACCACACAGTCTAAGCTAATTCTGACTGGCTATTTTAAAGAGAGCAGGGGTATGAGCCAGAGTGGCAGGGTGAGTAGTTTCGGCGGGAAGGACGGTTACAGTGTAGATGACTAGATAACTAAGGACAGAGCAGGTGACTGAGGATGACTAAGGACAGAACAGGTGATAGAGGCTAGGAGGGGGTTGTTTACTGAAACTAGGGGCAAGGAGATGTAAAGAACGAGGAGGTTAAACTTTAAAATGGAGAACAAAGAACAGGGAAGCTAAACATACTGACATATTGATTGGTTCTTTGAAGTGGAACTCAGAACTCTTTGTACTTAACAATTTTTCTCCTTCTTGAAGTTAACAGGCTAAACTTTGAAGAGGAATTTACTGTATCCTACATGAACACTTCCTTAGTATTCTGTCCCAAACATGCTTTTTTATTATTTACATGGCCAGGCTAAGAGTTTTCTAAATCGCTTCATGCTGCTTCCTTTTCATTACAAATTCTATCTTTTTTTTCTTTCTTCTCTCATTTTACTGTAAGCACCCAAAATAAGCTGTGCACCACCTTTAATTTTTTGCTTCGCAGATATTTCTTCTTCCAGATAGTCTAGCTCACCACTCTTAAGTTCTGTATTCCACAGAGCCCTGCTACATGGACACAATTCTGCCAATTTATTTGCCACTGTATAAAAAAGATGGCCTTTACTCTAGTTTCCAGTACATTGTTTCTCAGTTTCACCTGAGATCTTTTCAGAATGGCCTTTGCTACCCCTATTTCTACCAGCACTTTGATGATAGCCACACATGTAGTCTTTAAGAAGTTCCAGACTTTCCCTACATTTCCTGGCCCTCACCATAATCACCCTTAAACCTCCACTCATGGCATTCTAGGCTTTTTCTAGACTGTTCCTGCAAATTCTTTTGGCCTCTACTCATTACTCAGTTCTAAGGCCACTTTCACATGTTCAGCTGATATAGAACAGCCACACTTCTGAGTACCAAATTTCTCTTAGTCTGTTTTATGCTGCTACAACAGAATAACACAGACTAAGTAATTTATAGTAAATAGAAATGTACCTGTTTTATAGTTCTGGTAACCGAGAAGTCAAAATGCATGGTGCTGACATCTATCTAAAGGCCTTCATGCTGTGTCAGCCCATGGAGGAAGGCAGAGGGCAAGAAAAGGGGACAGCAAGTTAGAGAACTTGCAGCCTCAAGCCCATTTATAATTGCTTTTTTAAAAAAAGTAATCCTTTATTTAGCCTTTTTATCAATCCCACAAGGTTGTAACTTTTGTGACCTAATCACATCCCATTAGGCCCTAC
This sequence comes from Homo sapiens, assembly GCF_000001405.40. Lineage (NCBI taxonomy): Eukaryota > Metazoa > Chordata > Mammalia > Primates > Hominidae > Homo > Homo sapiens. The sequence goes on from NC_000011.10 coordinate 56,518,878, forward strand.
TTTTTAACACTGTTACGGTGGGGATTAACTTTCCAACACATTATTTTTGAGGATACGTTCAAATCACCACATCATGTAGATCCAATTAAGTCTAAATTTGTTAAAAAAGCATTTCATTCTTGCCTTATCTGATCTAGTTTACTATTCAACTTTATTATTTACTACTTTCCTATCTATTATTTGTGTCATAAGCACAACCAAGCTATTCTTCTTGATCAGTTGGTTCACTCTTTAGGAAAAGTCTTTGCAATTCATCCTCTACCCTTTGAAATTCCTACTCAACTTTCAAAACCCATCTCAGTGGTTACCTTCTCTGGGAGAATTACCCAAAAAGCTTTTTGTCAAGATAATTTTTTTCTTTCTTTGTGCTCACAAAACACTTTAAATAAATTATTTCAACTATTTCTTTTACCCAAGCTCCACAAGTAGGAGGACCAACATGGGGATTCTGCCAGTATGTCTATTCTATTTATGCATTTTAGAACCAGAGAAATAACCACAGGCTGAGTTCAGGGACCCACTGGGCCCACTTTGAGATGGAATTCACTGATAATCTAATCATCATAAGCCCCTACTGACTGAAGGGGCTATAATGATGTTGTGAGCCTGAAATTGTCAGTTCAGAGCCAGTGTCAAGTAGTACTCAAAAGTCTGATTATCTCCTTTTCTCCAATGCAGTTACCCAGATAAAAGGTCCCTCTCTGTGGGACCTAGCAATATATGGAAATCTTCCTTGAGAAGACCTTGTCTCCCCTTCATTTAAGGAGTTCTGGGTCTGTAAACTGCCTCAAGTCTACAAATTGATTGAGGGACTGTAACTATCAGTTATTATAATTCAGAATAGACTTTTGTTCACTTGACCTAAAATGTTTTTGCATATTCAGATCAAGTAAGAATTTAGTGGGCTTTCTATTTACTTATACAACTGGGAACACCATAATTAACTAGCCTGTGCTAGCCAATGTCATAGATACGTGTGGGTCAGACTATTCTATTTGATGCTTTAACCTGCTGTTCATTATGGTAACTATGCCCACCTTGCCTTGGGCCATTGAAAGCCACCACCTGGCCTCTGCCACCCCATGATCTAGTTACTATTACTGCATTTTGATTTTCCAATTGTGTGGTTGCAGTTTCCCCTCACAAGTTTATTTATCAATGTATTGGTGAAAAGCTTGTCTTCTGAACCCTTCCAGTATGGGTGAGTAGGTCTTCAATGGCAAGTCCACTCTTGAATTTTAATTTCTCTAGACCTTTGAATTCCTTCCTCTACATTAAACCAAGGGAAGTTAAACATTTCCAGTTTACTCACAGTGGACCATCTTTTGATTCATGTTTCAGCCAAACAACCAAACTTAGAGCTTTTTCTAACTCCCCAAGTTGCAACATTAAATGGAGAATCTCTGTTTAATGAGCTCATATTGACAAATTAGACCTGATCCAACTATATCTTCATTCTACTCTTTTACCATATGCTTAGTATCCATTCCTACACATGTTCCCTGGATTTCTGTTTGTATAAATTAGAAAACTCATCTACTTTTTTAGTGCACCACCTCATGGTCTTGCTTGGTACCTCTTCTTTCAGGGGCTGTTGGTACTTGGGTTTAGTTATAAGTTTAGAAGCAAAGAAGGGTGGTAAAGGTGGGCCCCAAAAAGAATCTGTATTGTCTTGTATGGAAACTGCCTCAGGGGAAGTCTTTACCATTTATTCTGGCAATATGGAGTTAATTACCCAAGACATAGGTGGAAAAGCTGATACCACTGGGAACGGGGAGGCCAATTCCACTAGGAGTATAGGAGTAGGGAAACCTCTTTCACTGTCAGATAGCACTTATCAGAATTTAGGGGCTCAGTCTTTCCAGCTTCATCAGGATCTTCCCACAAACCCCCAACGCAACATATAGGATCCCTTTCTGCAATTCTCTAATTGAAGCTACAGGAGACAAGGATCTCCTTCCAGACATACATAGAAGCTCTCAGGGTTGGACTGGAAATTAAAATCCCCAAGCTCATCCTTATCTTTCAGCACTTTGTCCAGTGACATTAAGAGTAACCAATCAATATCGTTATAATCCTTAGTTTTCTAAGAAAGTACAAAAGTATATAGAGAGTCACATAGTTCCTTATATCTTATAAGTGTCTGATGAGGATAATCCAATGTGGATACTTTGCATATATGTATAAACAGTTTATGTCATGGACTATCAATGCTTTTTCGACTACTCTAAATAGTCATTAGCATCTTTAAATCTAATGAAATTAAAGAGCCAATTCCAGAAACCTCAGAAACAGATAAGAAAATATATCCTTAAAATTATGTTGCTCTAGAACCACTCTCAATACCAAAATCTGTATTCATCAGGGTTCTCCAGAGAAAGAGAAGCATTCTATATATAGAATGAAGATTTTACATATATATATATATATATATATATATAACATTACATGATTACACACACACACACGCACACACACAATGGAAACTGGCTCATGCAACTATAAAGGCCAAAAAGTCCTGTGATTTGCCGCCTGCAGGCTGGAAAACCAGGAAAGCTGGTGGTTTAATTCAGTCTAAGTTTGAAGACCTGGTAGGGGAACAAATAGTTTAAGTCCTGGTCAGAGTCTGCAGGTCCGAGGTCCAGGAGCACCAACATTGTCCAAGAGCAGGCGAAGATTGATGTCCCAACTCACCCAGAGAAAACAAATCTGCTCTTCTTTTGCCTTTCTATTCTATTCAGGCCCTCAGCAGATTGCATGATGCCAGCCCACATTGGTGAGAACACTCTCCTTTACTCAGTCTTCCAATTCAAATGGTAAAATCTCTTCCAGACACACATTCACAGACACACCCAGAAATAACATTTTACCAAGTATTTGTGCACCCTGTCGCCCAGTCAAGTTGACACATAAAATTAACCATCATGCTACTATTTTCAAACGTTACGTTCTTTCTATTTCTATTTATTTGGTTGTTCAAAAAGAGTCACAAACATATAGGGCAGCTACTGTTTTGTGTTATTGATTCCTTCAAGGAGGTAACATTATCTAGACATATTCATAAGGTGAAATTCAAAAACAGAGAAGTTTTTCTGGCTTACAAAGAGTAGAAAGATTCCAAATTTGTTTGGAAAATATAAAGTTAGAACTCTCATACACTTCCATCACATTATGGAGTAGCAACATGGCGTGTGGTGAAATTTGGTTTTATTTGGTCGGAGTAGCCACAAGGTGGCAGGATATGATGCTATTCCATGTCGTCAGCTCTGGGGATAACACCATGTTAAATAAGTTTACATGAAATGCAAACATAGAGAAGGACAGCCATATAAACGTGGAGCACTTTGGACCCAATATTGTGACTACATGGAAGGCAGATGACCATGTGGATGTGATTGCCACAGATGGCTGCAGGGACAAAACACTGGGTTAACGGGAATGTGACCATGTTATGCTGTTCATATAAATTGGCTATGGAATTGAACTTGCCAAATAAAAAGTTAACCAGAATTTGTAGGATTGAGAGATTGGCAAGGAGACAGTGTGAGGATGTGATGTGCAGATTTAGGGCCAAGTTTTCCAGAAAAAGAAAAATACAAATTAATAGAACCAAGAGAAAGAAGACAAGATGCAACGCCGGGCAACTGGCCAACCTCAGGAAGATAAATTTCTTCTCTCTGGTTTGATTTATTCTGCACATTTCCAGATGAATTCTGTTGAAGGAGACAAAAGCAGACTGATTATACATGAATAAAATATACACATTTAAGTTACCATCAGTGTTTTGTTTTGCAGGAAAATCCCATTACCTTACAAAACTAATATTATAATCTCCATTATTTTTTTTACTTCTTTTTTTCTATCTATCTATCTATCTATCATCTATCTGTCATCTACCCATCAATCATCTATCTATCATTTTTTAGGGATCACATACTACATACCAGGCTGAAAAATAGAAAATAATTGCTCTCAAAACATCATTGTTTCTGACCTCATGTCACTTACAATATTATAGAGAACACAGACATTAATTATATCCAAAGAGTAATAAATGTATTAAAAGAAAACATAGAAGGTTATGAAAGGAACCTAAGTCTAAGATAGGTAAAGTAACTTTCCAGTTAATAATTAAAACAGGTACCTTTTATTGAGTAAATACTATGTATCCAGTACTGTCCTAAGTGTGTTTCATGTGTTAATTAATATCTTCTGTGAAGACAGCATCCTTATGAAAAATCACTATGTCTTCACTTTATAGAAGAGGGCACTGAGGCCGAGAGAGGTTGTATAACTTGCTCAGTAAATCAGATTCCAGAGTTCATGCTCATAACTACTCATTTAGCTAATAAATGATGGAGTTAGGATCTGACTGCAAAAATTTGTCTTATGGAACAAGTTAAATTTATCTATACATTATAAAAAGAATTTTTTATAGTGCATTATATCCTTCAGTGTGCATGCAGCTGTCAAATACATGATCAGCAATACTTCTGGAAGATAGAAAATAATTATATTTTTCATTGTATGATTTTGCCTTCAATGAAGTATAGTGGCAAAAGTATAATAGTAACACAAACAAACAAATAAACTTTAAAGCCAGGCATATTTGAGCTCCCCTTCTAATCTACCTATGTGCTTTTAGGTTAACAACTTGTAAATCTGTTGTCTTTTCTTTAAAGTGGAGATTATAGTACTGAATGCATAGTGTTGATGGGCAGATTAAGTAAAACAACTTACATTAAAATATTACCTGAACTATAATAAAAAGTATTACTCTGTCTTATTTTTGTGTGTATGTGTGAGTGTGAGTGTCTAAATATTTTTCACTTATTCATTGTTCCCAAAAACATCTGTTATATGAGTAAAGACATTAGGCTCATAACATCACTACTCCCTATAACATTTAGTATTTTATACACATGTATAAATTTTCCTGAAAGGAATATCAGAGTGATGATCTTTTGGATAGGTGAGGAGAAAATAATATATCATATTTATTGTTCTTTTCAAAAGTACAGTAAATATTCTTTATTTTTTCTGATTATTTCTTCATTGTATTACCCAATTTGTCCAACAAATAAAGAATTCAGCAGAATTAACTTTGAAAGAAAAGAGACATGAAATTGGAGACTCTTCTTGAAATCTCTTATGACAGACTTTAATAATGGGATTTTAATGTCATCAATAAGAAAGTTATTCTTTACTTTTTAGCTAAAATCCAGGGCCTACTAAAATAACATATTAATACCAAAAATTTTCATCAGCACATATTTATTTTATGTCTAATACAATATGATATGGACTTAGATAGTCTTAACAGGCTGATAGACGTGATTCCAGCGAGCCAGTCAATTCATGAAAGCACTTGGTGTAATTCCTTTCTATCTTGAACTTTTGTGTATATGGGCGTAACTATTGGTTTTGTATTGCTAAAGTCAGTCATAAACATCAATGACATTATGGTTACTTGTATTTCTGAAAAGTAAGTTGGCTTATGACTAATAACATATTCCCTCAGAGTCATCTGCTGGTCTGTTCAAAGACACTTTTCTTATAAATTCTAAAATTGAGGCACTTTGTTTACTTTGAAAGTGGACATTCATTAACTTTTAATAAAATTGTGTATGATGTGTACTCTTTCATGCTGCAGTCATTGAACCTTTCTTCGGTGCCAAGCTAGGCTGTACAGATAGAAGCATGGGCCCTGAGATCAGAAAATTTTATATAATTAAGAAGCTGGTTTCACATAACTAAAAACATATGTGTATTTAAACAGGAATACATCTAGGTATGTGTCTAAGCGGAATTCAACAATTGTTAATTAAATGTAAAAAATTAGTAAAAATAGCTTTTTTATTTATATGTGTGTTTTAACAGAATTTGTGGGCAATCTGACTTTCAAAATCAAGGTATTTAAATAGGAACATGTAGTAGTACAAGGTTTAAAATAATTATATGCAATAATATAAAATGAATGAGTCTGAAAATTTCTGTAGAAATACTAAGCAGAGATTAACTCGAAGGTACAAAGAAAGCTTTGAAATACAACTGAGAAAAAATATCATGTCTTTTTGAGTTGTGACTTGTTATAGTTTTATGGTTTTTTCTTTTTCATTGAAACTAACATCTACATATTTGATCACAAATTGGTTCTTAATTATTTTGCTCAGACCCCACCTGACATTACGTCATACTAGGAGCTATGGGAGGGCTGAGGAAGGTGCATAAAGCATAAACAAGTTCTAGTCTTGGACAATCACAGGGCTAGCTTCAATTTGCCCAGAGATAATTTTTTCTTTCCTCTCTTTCGTTAGCACCTCCATAGTCTTACAGCATTTAACAAATTGTATTGATCTTTCTGTTTACAGTTTCATGACCCCTGTAAAACTATGCCATTGTCGAGCTCCTTGAAAAGTCCTTGGTGTTAGGAGAAGTGTGACTTATTGTAGATACTCAGCACACATTCATCAATTTTGCTTATGTTATCAACTGCAAAGTCACCAGATTTGTCACATCCTTAAAATATCAACTTGTCCTTTGCTTCCTTTAGCACTAAAATACTTACAAACAAGTCGACATATGTCATTCTAAAATTAGGTATATAATAACTAACTGTGACAAAGTACCACTGTGAGTAAAATTTGAATGATGCTACTAATAAAAATATATGATCTATCCTGAAAAATAGATTAAAAAAGCAGAGGTGAGAGAAAGCATGAAGGACTCTAGTCCCCAGAAGTGTAGAATTGAATTGATAAGTTCTGCAGAAGTCACAGTTATTTGCAGCCAGTCATATACCCTTATAGGAGCCATTCTTTGTCTGCTTCCAGAGTTAATATTTGAAAAATAACTGCTGGGCTGGCCTCATGTCCTGTCGTGGCAGAAGGAGAAAGGTGTCTTATTGAAAGTGACTCTCACAAGTGGAGAGACATAAGTGGGTGTCAGGCATGGACACAGAGGTGTTATCGTAAGTTTTCTCTCCTAGAGAAACAGCCTAGAGGGACAGCAAGTCTCACCAGCAGTTGTGACATTCCTCTAAACCATGAGACTGAAGTTTCTTGGTAGTAATTGCTACAGAATTGTAAACCACTAAAAAGCAACCATGACAGTCAACTTGTGTTTTAACAATCGTGTATATATGTGTGTACATATAACCACACATTTGTTTGTAGATACGAAGAAATTAAAAAAAAAAAACTAAAGAAACTGTTAATCGTTGTAACTCTAGGAAGTGAGAATAAAAAATCAGGGTGTGGGAAAGAAAATAAAATATTTTAATCTCTTACTTTTTACCTTTCCATAGAGACCTAATGTTTTATTACAACAATGTATAATTTTTTATAATGTAAAAAATATGTTGTTATAAATGTAATTTACATGTAAATTTACATGTAAATTGTTACACATGTAAATTCATACATGTAAATGTATGCATGTTATGAATAAAAGAATAATTATTCCTCATACATGCATATACACCTCCCTACCCTTCACACACACATATTTCACTCATATGTAACATGTAAAACCATAAATTTTCTCTATCTATGTCTATGTTTTGTTGTTAGATTATAGTTTTTCATTGGGGATCTAAAATTGACTTTACTGTAAAGCTACTAAAGTTAAATACAGTTCTCATAAATAGAAAGATTTTTTTATTTGACTAATAAAGATACACTGATTTTACTTCAAAAGCACGTTTCTTCTGATCAGTTTCCAAAAAGCTTGTTTCACATCCTTGTTCCTCAAACTATAGATGATGGGGTTCAACATAGGGCTTACAAAAGTGTAGAAAACAGCAATGACTTTGGACTGTTCCACTGACCTGTCCGTGGGAGGTCTAACGTACATGCAGAACAGGGTTCCATAAAACACAGTCACTGCCACCAGGTGGGACCCGCAGGTGGAGAACGCTTTGTGCCTACTTTCAGCAGAACGCATCCTCAGGATGGCAATGAGAATGAAGATGTAGGAGATGAGGATTATGATGAGGGAGCTGGAGAGGTTAAATCATGCTACCACAAACATGGATGTTTCCTTAATGAAAGTGTCAGAGCAGGAAAGTCGGATGAGGGGTGGGTCAGCACAGTAGAAGTGATTAATGATATTGGAGCCACAGAAGGTCAAGTGGTATGTCCACATGGTTTCCATCAGTCCACTAAGAAACCCATAGACATATGGACCAGCAATCAGGCGAATACAGAGCCCTTTGGACATCTTGCTGCTGTAAAGCAAAGGGTTACAGATGGCCACATACCTATCATAGGCCATTACAGCTAGCATATAATATTCAGTAATCACCACAGCAATGAAAAAATAGCACTGGACTAAACAAGCAGCATAGGAAATGGCTTTCTTGTCTGAGAAGAAGTTCACCAACATCTTGGGAGTCACATTAGTGGAGTAATACAAATCCAAGCAGGACAAACTAGCAAGAAAGAAATACATGGGGGTGTGGAGGCGTGAATCTATCCTGATCAACACCAACATCCCAAGGTTCCCCCCGACAGTGATCAGGTAGATTAGCAGGAACAGTACAAAGAGGATGGGCTGAAGCTCTGGAAGATCCTTTAATCCCAAGAGAATAAATTCCGTCACCAAAGTAGAATTTCCTCTAACCATTTTCTTAGGTACCAGCATTTTTCACTTAAATGGATGAAAATAAATCAAGGTGAATGAGAAGTCCATTACATGTTACCTTTTTTCTCTTTCTCTTATTTGCTCTCTCTCTTTTTCTTTCTCTCTTGTTCTCCCTCACACAGCCAGTCAGGCAGGACTCAAGAATATAGGGCCTGGTGGTCTTAAAAAAGCAAAGGCCCCAATTAACTGGGTGTATCATATGCAGATGATTCCTAAAAAGAATGGTTTCTGTGTTACCAACGTGTTTTGGAATGAGGGAATAGTGTCCTAAAGTTTGTCGAAAAATGGATTAAGCCACTAACTGCCTTTTTCAGTTGACTATACAATCATGGGCTTCCTTTATAACAACAGTCCCCAACCTTTTTAGCACCAACGACCAGTTTTGTGGAAGACAATTTTTCCATGGATGGGGGTTGGAGGGTGGGGTTGTTGGGGATAATCAAGCATTAGATTCTCGTAAGGAGCACACAACCTAGATAGCTGGCATGCGCATGCAGTTCACAATAGGGTGGGTGCTCCCATGAGAATCTAATGCCAAGACTAATCTGACGGGAGGCGGAGCTCAGGCAGGAATGCTCACTTGCTGGTGGCTTGCCTCCTGCTGTGTGGCCCAGTTGCTAACAGGACATGGACCATACCAGTTCATGGCCTGGGGGTTAGGGGACCCCTGCTTTAGTGTCTCCACCTTTGAGAATTTCACTGGCTATGTGCTGTATTAGAGAGTCCAGAATCATAGGGGTTTGAAGGAAATTCTGGGTTTTTTTTCTTCACTTTTTTTTTCTTACTGCTATACCAACAAAATCAAAAGCAATTCATTTCTTTGTGAATAAACCAAAGATAAGGTTTCTAAATTTGGAATAACAAGGGCCTATATGAATTACTAATGAAGGAATTTTCAGTCGAAGGAGTTTGTAGGAGTAAAGCAAGAGAAGTTGCCAAATGTTATTTCATAGATTTTATCTACTGGTCCATTTATGTTTTAATTTAATCCTGAATGCATTTAAGGGGTTTACAGCATATAACAGAATGTGACAAATTTGTTCTGCTAGTGGAACACAAATTTGTTTCAGGTTTCTAGCAGCATTAGTTCAAACTTCTTTATAATATTATAATGTCCAGAATAATAAAATGAAAAGTAATCAAGAGAGATAGAATTATTCCTAGAGTTCAAACAATACAAATTATAATGAACAGATTATACTTTCAGATAATATTAATTCAGATAATATCAATTGTAATGAAATGAGACAATGGGAAATTATGGTGCTGGGATTCTATACAATAATTTTTTATTATAAATTCCCAATGTTGCCTTGTGTTATTTTATAAGTAAAACACTAAAGGAGATAAGAGATCAAAACTTAAATGTCTATGGGAGCCCTTTAGCTAATAAGAATGAGTGAAGTGGGTTGGGTTTAAGAGTCCACTGAAGTGAAACATAGAGTGGTTCCCAGTGTAGACTCAGAAGTCACTCAGGCCAATAGAATTTTGCTTTATGTTAGCAGGGACCTTGTGTTGTAAGGTCTTAAGAGCTTTACATTTTAAATATCAGAATTCATTGTTTTTATGGGAAATCTACCAAAGATAGTGTTGGCAATTCATTCGATTTTTAAATTTATCTTAATCCAGGGCACAAAACAGAAGTCTGTAGGCTTGAGCTAGTGGGATACAATTCCTTGCAACACCAGTGTCTTCAACTACATACTTCAGTGTCTAACCTCTTCCCGGAAATTGAATTAAGGGTTCACACAAGTTAGCTACTTTGACTCTGTGATGCTTTCAGGATGCTAAATGATTTAACCATTGTAATATGGTTACATTTGTGCACAAACAGCACTGAACACTCCATGCATGCAAGTTGCTTTGCTGGGGAATTGAAGACAACTGATCACAGTGCTTGCCTTGAAAGAGCTGGTTGATTTTCATGGTAAGGAGCATGAAAATTAAAGTTAAATATGATTAGTTCAATAATAAAAATACAAACAAAATAACTAATTGTTTCAGGAATCAGGGTAAGCATCAAAGGACAATAATCTAACTGGGGCTTGAAAAATAACTAGGAATTTCCTAGAGGAATAAGAGTGGGGAGCAGTTTTAGCTAGTATGAACAGTACATGCAGAAAATTGTCTTAGGCAACTTTCAAGAGAAATTAAACATATTTCACATAGATGCAGGGATGACTTTTCTATTGTGGCAAATAAGACATTTAATAAGCGGTAAGTAGTCAAACAAAACTTAAAGTCTCCAACACATACCAAGAAGAGTGAACATGCCTCCTGAAATCTACAAGGAAGCACATCTTTGAATTTGTCTTTGACACGCAGTTTTTGAGTGTGTGTGCCTGTGCGTGTGTATGGCACCCAAGTGATGGTGATGAATTAGAACTGACGTTCCCTGTTACTTGGAAATTGAAATGATTTCTTGTCTTAAATCTACAACTTTGGCCTTTGAGAGGAAAATGCAATAATTAGAAAATAAAGATTTATGTAAAGAGTAAAAGTGCCCTTTCCTCACTCTCCAGAAGGATGCATCATTTTGGAAAATATTCACCTTAGTAAATATAAATCTTATGTTTTAATGGCATAAATATATTTATCTAATCTTTACATTTATGCAATATATCTTGTATATTATCATCTGTTTAATCATCATATTATACTTAACAAATAATAAAATAATGACAAAAATAAAGAAAAAAGGATAAAAAAGATACTATAATTTAATTTTCTATGTCCTGCTCTTTCCTTTAAATATATGCAGCAACCTACCCTCTACAGCTTAAAGAGAAAACTCATATTTGGATAATAGTATCTCCTCCCATTGACATAGGCACTTTAGGTCTACAAAGAAATCACACCGCTTCTGTTTCATTTCACTTTTAGAAAAGCCCTTCAACTGATGTAGAGCAAGTACCATTAGGAGTAAGGAAAAGGGGTTGTAAACATGTTAATCTTGCTATCGTCTGAGTTTTTAGGTTAGAATTTTCAAAACTTTGTTCAGAAGAACCACTGAATATTAAGCAACAAAATAGGCCTATGGGGAAAAAAAAGTTTGGAAATACTGGGTTTAAGTGGGGAAAGGTAAAATAGGTTGCTCTATTGCAGAACATCACAGATCCTTCTATATGGACATGTGTAAAGTAAAGCTCCAGAAAGTGGGCAAAGGCTTTCAGCATGTCCCAACCTTCCTTATTCAAAGACCCAAGAGCACTATCAAATTTTCTCTTTAGGCTAAAATCCCTAATTTCACACTGAGCAGCAGGGAATGCTGTCATCCCTGAACCTCAAAAACTAAACAAAATTCAAGGAAGTAAGACATAATCTCCACAATTTGGGAAACCAGCTTCATTCAGCCGTGCCACTAGTAGAGAACTATCATTGATTATAGGAAAAAAAATGCTTGGGGTAAATACTGAGCACTGAAGAGGCACTCCATAAATGGGGAGAGAATAGAAACAGGAGAAAAAAATGTTAAACTCTGAGGAAAATAAAACAGAATGTGATATCAGAGCTCTGCGTATCAATTGCAGGTGGACGTGAATCCATTCTACTCTCAAACAATCTGTATTGTGAAATCCTAAATACTAGCATTTGTTTATTCATCATATCATATTTAACAAATAATCATGGTTGCTTATTAAGTGTTTATTGGTTGTAAGGCATAAGTCAAACTAATAGACAGACAGATAGATGATAGATAGATGGAGAGATAGATAGACAGATAGATAGATAGATAGATAGATATAGATAGATAGATAAATAGATGTAATCCATGAGACAACGTCCAAATATTTAAAATACTCTCATATAACTTGCAAGCATTTTTTTCCTCTTTTGAATTTTTTACATGTTAACCTGTTCTTTGATCACACATCCTTAGTTTCTTCTCTTCTCACTTTTCTCTTGTTATCCACAGCCCTCTTCCCAAGAACTCTCTAATTTAGTTGCTTGCATGAATCATATTTTAAAGGCTAAAGTACTTGGGAAATGTCTTTCTCAATATTTCAGTAAAGAAAAGCTCTTTGAGATCTGGAATGTTTTTAATTTATAATTTCCTGGGCAGGAGATTATGAACTTAGTCATATTAAAACATTCAAGTTTCACTTCTAGAGGGCCTCAGTGTAACATACAAGCACCTCTATATATATTCATGTATGTGTATATATATGTTGGGGGGGCATATGCTCAACTGAGATTACTAAAAGCATGCATATGACAAATACTATTGGTAAATTTAAAATAATTTTGATAACTCCCATGATATATTCAAATTTTCTGCATCAGAGCTAAAGCCTTTAGTCTACTGAAAATAAATAGCTGAATGATTGTGAAATGTTTAATAACACGTCATCTGAAGATCATTTCTAGTTCTTTATTTAAACTTCTACTGGGTAAAATAATTTGGACCTCAAAATTCTTGTAGTAGAGTTAGTTCATGGTATTTAATCCAGGTGCTGGGAAGTAATATTTTATGGAAAGCCTGGTGAATGTGTAACTTAGCAAAATGTTATTTATTTGCCAATGGTTAAACTGGGTTGCTGAAATGTATCAAAGGTGATGTTTAATGCCTGTAGGAATTGCCTTTGATAACTTATTTAATGTTTACCATGCGCAGTGTGCCCTGTGCTTAGAAAAAGTGCACACTTATTTAATATTTGTGTAAAAAGTAGCAAAATTTATCTTTCATGACTCTTATTTTCTAACTTGTATTCCAATATAGATTGCCAAGTAATTCACATTAAAGCATTAGAAAGAGTGCTGAATCAGTTTTGTAATAGCTATACATACATTGTTCTCTGTGTGAGAAATAACACACAGAAAAATAATTAAGCCTCAATGATGGATTAAACCAGATGTCCTTCTGCAAAGGGGTTTTTCCATGACATTGGTGTTCAGTCTGAAATTTCTGGGTAATTAGGAATCAGTGTAGACATCAGTGAGTTTTTTAAAGTCTATGTTTCTTATTGCAAGAAATATAACCAAAATAAAACTCCAAATGTTTCACTGCTTCAATAATGTTAACTTGCTTCGCACTGTATTGGAATTACTAAAGATAAACTAGATAACAAAGTCAACACATATTTTTCATGTTGGTAAATTTTGATTCACAGGATATCTATATCCATATGTTTATTTTTATTACATGAAGATATTTTTCAAGTAACATTATTTGTCATTTAGTAGCCTGTTTGAATATATTGTTGAACAGAAAACTAGAGGTGTCATTTATGGTAAATTGGTAAACATGGTAAATATTTGGGTGAAATTCGGAGTTCCAAGATTTTCCCATCCTCCCAACTAAAAAAAAAATTACATTGATTCAATAAAAGTGCAAAGTAAATTTCTACAAATGTTACTGATATCTGAGTTACTTGTGGAAATGTTCATTTGGGAATAAGTTTGGCTTCTTCAGGCTCCAGTTAAAATGCAAGGTCAGGCAATGTGGCTCATGCCTTTACTCCTAGCACTTTGGTAGGCTGAGGCTTGAGCCTAAGAGTTCAAGACAAAACTGGGCAACATAGGGAGACTCCATCTCTACAAAAACAAATATTAAAAAAAAAAACCATCTCCAGGTGTGGTGGTGCATGCCTGTGGTCTCAGCTACTGGGGAGGTTGAGGTGAGAGGCTCCCTTGGGCCCAGTATGCCATGATTGCACCACTGCACTTTAGCCTGGGTGACACAGTGAGATCCTGTCTCATAAAATAAAATGAAATAAAATAGAATACAAATATTTGAGATAGCAAAATAAGATAGCACGGAACTGCTTTCATAGTTACTAAACATTCTGTATACATCAGGTCACCATTATGTCATCCTATAAAATGAATTGTGTGGGAGACTAGGAGAAATTGAAGCCAAAGAAAAGACCATAGAAAACAGAGGTAAAGATTACTGAAGCTTATTTTCAGTTATTGAGCCCAGGAACGACCTCAACTGAGCAATAAGACATAGATAAGTCTGCAAGAACTGCTGGGCAAATAATGATATTTTACGATCTTCAATTAAAACAGAGGTAGATAAGTCTAGTAGTTGGTGGAGCCAAGCAACTCCTGTGAATATCAGTTTCTCAGCCAGGAGCACCTTCCTTGTCTACACAGTCACAATGGACTTCAGCACCATCCCTTTCTCTTTGTTTTCCATTCTAGTGTCTCACAAATAAAATAACAGGGCACATTATCTAAGCACAGTGCATGAACCTAAGTTCTAGGGCATGTTATATGTTGTGGCTTTATTCTTGCCTATGATATGTCAATAAAAACTCATTTAAGTCTTCATTTAGAAAGCAGTCTCTTTACCTCGATATGGTGATTTTTTCCTATGAGCTTTAGAATTCTAATCTATATAATGTCAGACTTTGACAAAATAGTTTCTAAAGTGCCCATCATTTCTAACATTCTGATTTTGCATTCATAGATTTTTCTATTCTACACTCATCACTAGTCATGTACTTCTTAGTTAATATTAAATTTGCTCCAAATTTTCTCTGATAATTTAAAGAAAGATATGTAAAGTTCTATAAGTGTTTTATGTTTTCTAGAAAAAGTACAATTTCTAATGAATTGATCTGTCCCTCTTTCAAATTTTTCCCCTTTATTTTACTTTATTTTTAAATGACATATAATACTTGTTCATCTTTAGTGGGTACACAGTGATGTTTTGATGCATATGATGTATAGTGATCAGATAAGGGTAATTAGCATATCCCTTATGTCAAATATTTATCATTTCTTTATTATGGGAACATTCACTATCCTTTTTCTAGCTATTTGAAACTATATATTATGAACTACAGTAATCCTACAGGACCATAGAACAGTAGAACTTATCCCTCTTACCTTGCTATAATTTGTATCCTTTAACAAATTTCTGCCTATCCTTCCTTCTCTCTACCCTTCCTAGCCTCTAGGAAGCCTCTAGTATCCTCTTTTCTACTTTTTACTTCTCTGACATAAACATTTTTTAGTTTCCACGTACGAGTGAGAACATAGAGTATTTAATATTCTTTTCCTGGCTTATTTTACTTAATGTAAAATGTCTATGATATTTCATTGTGTCCATCTATGATACAATGAAATACTATTCAGCCATAAAAAAATAAGATCTCTTTTGAACTTTTGATAAAGCGTTTCCTTTATAAGGGGTCTTTTCAACAGATATTATTCTAGTAAACACTTGAATTGATTGTCTTATTAATATTTACTCCAGTGGTTATTCAAGGTGTGTTCAACACTTGAATTTATTGTCATATTAATGTTTACTCCAATAGTTATTCAAGTGGGTTCAATATTTGAATGAATGGTGAGAATGATATTTGTAAAGTGAAACAGTTGTTGTGAATAATTTCAATTAAAGTGTAATACTTTCTCATCACCCGTCTAGATAAGAAATGTATACAAACTCATTTTAATAGGCTGAGAATCTAAACTAACATTTGAAGCTACTTTTATTGTCACTTGACTCCTACTGATAAAAATCCAAAATTGAGACAAGAAGAGAAAGTACAAGTGCAGAAGTCAGAATTTTTATTCCTACCTGATGCCAAGAAAGGTACTCCCACAGACACTAGTGCTCCAAAAAATGAGTTAACAAGAATAAGTTATACCCATCTTGTAATTTGGAGCTCTTATCACTAAAGTATTTTTTAATACACTCTGAAGAAACAATTGCAATGTTACTAAAAAACACAACTCCAGGGAAAATGTAGTAATTGGTACAGACTCATGTGCTCAATAGAAACTTGGGACTTAAGCAACTTGATTGCAACAATTTGTAATCACTACGAGATGATTGCTTTGGGGATCAGGAGTTTATTCACATGGGGTTTTGCATTATGGTTCATTATTCCAATCAGATGAATGGAATGATTAATAAAGGTAAAAAAATAATGACATAATTCATAAGCGTTGATGTTTCTGTGATTCTCTTTCAGCCTGAATTGTGTGTTGGACACTACCTTTCACAAAATGGTTAGAATAAAGAAGTTAAATTGTAAAATCTACTGGGTAAAATAATTTGGACCTCAAAATTGTTGTAGTTGAGTTAGTTCATGGTATTTAATCCAGGTGTTGGGAAGTAATATTTTATGGAAAACCTGGTGAATGTGTAACTTAGCAAAATGTTATTTATTTGCCAACCTATGAAAACAAACAGAATAAAGATCAAAATATTTTGCCTACCTTTTTTTTCCCTTTTACCAAGTATCCAATCCTCACTTAGCTAGGACATATGAATGTAAGATGTACCCTGTACATGTGATCAAATAGTACATGTATTTGCCCTAATTATGAAGGCAAAAGAGATACATGAATGCTTCATTGGAAGCACATTTTTCCAATGATATACCGAAATAAAAACTTTTACTATAGTCTACACCTAAATCAGCATTATCTGTCACTGTCTCCCTCATTCCCTGGTATAGCCATACTGGTCTTGGGTCAAGCCCTTTTCAAACTCAGAACCTTCACAGAGCCGTTTTTTAACCTTTTTTTTTTTTTTTTTTTAGGTTCAGGGGTATATGTGAAGGTTTTTGATACAGTTAAACTCACGTCATGGGGGTTTGTTGTACAGATTATTTCATCACCCACATACTAAGCCTAGTACCAAACAGTTATTTTTTCTGATCCTTTCCCTACTCCCATCTTCCATCTTCAAGTAGGCCCCAGTGTCTGTTGTTCTCCCCTTTGTGTCCATGTGTTTTCATTATTTAGCTCCCATTTACGTCTTCTTTTGAAAAGTATCTATTCATGTCCTTTTCTCACTTTTTAATGGGATCATTTTTTTCTTGTAAATTCGTTTAAGTTCCTTATAGATGCTGGATATTACCTTTGTCAGATGGATAGTTTGCAAATATTTTATTCCATTCTGTAGGTTGTCTGTTTACTCTGTTGAAAGTTTCTTTCACAGAAGCTTTTAAGTTTATTTATATCCAAAAATTTGTCAATTTTTGCTTTTATTGCAATTGTTTTTGGTGTCTTCATTATGAAATCTCTGCCAGTTCCTATGTCCAGAATGGTGTTGCCTATGTTGTCTTTCAGGGTTTTGACAGTTCAGGGTTTTATATTTAAGTCTTTAATTCATCTTTAGTTGATTTTTGTGTATGGTGTAAGAAACAGGTCCGGTTTCAATCTTCTGTATATGGCTAGCCAGTCAGCCTAGCACCATTTATTGAATAGGGTGTCCTTTCCCCCTGTTCTTTTGTCAGCTTTGTCAAAAATCAGATGGTTGTAGGTGTGTGGTCTTATTTATGGCCTTTCAATTCTGTTTCATTGTTTTGTCTGTTTTTGCACCAGTACCATGCTGTTTTGCTTCCTGTAGCCTTATAGTATAGTTTGAAGTCAGGTAACGTGATGCTCCAGGTTTGTTCTTTTTGCTTAGGATTGCTTTGGCTATTTGGGTTCAAGGTTCCCTATAAATTTTTAAATAGCTTTTTTTCTGATTCTATGAAGAATGTCATTGGTAGTTTGACAGGAATAGCATTGAATCTGTAAATTGCTTTGGGTAGTATGGCCATTGTAATAATATTAATTTTCCTTATCTATGAGCATGTAATGTGTATTAGGGTTCTCTAGAGGGACAGAAATAATAGGATATACATATATATATATGTATATATATATGTGTGTGTGTGTGTATATATATATATGGGAGTTTGTTAAGTATTATTAACTCACATGATCACAAGGCAAGGTCCTACAATAGGCCATCTGCAAGCTGAGGGGCAAGGAAGCCAGTCCAAGTCTCAAAGCTGAAGAACATGGAGTTCAATGTTTGAGAGCAGGAAGCATCCAGCACGGGAGAAAGATGTAGATTGGGAGGCTAAGCCAGTCTAACCTTTTCATGTTTTTCTGCCTACTTTATATTCTGGGCACACTGTCAGCTGATTAGATTGTGCCCATCCAGATTAAGGGTATGTCTGCCTTTCCCACCTCACTGACTCAAATGTTAATCTCCTTAGGCAACACCCTCACAGACACATCAAGGATCAATACTTTGCATCCTTCAATCCAATCAAGTTGACACTCACTCATTATTAACCATCACAGAATGTTTTCCCTTTTGTTTGTGTCATCTCTGATTTTTTTGAGCAGATTTTGTAATTCTCATTGTAGTGCTCTTTCATCTTTCTAGTTAGTTGTATTCCTAAGTATTTTATTTTTCTTCTAACAATTGTGAATTGGATTGCATTCCTGATTTGACTGTTTGCCTGACAGTTATTGGTGTATAGGAAAGCAAGTGATTTTTGTACATTGATTCTGTACCCTGAGACTTTGCTGAAGTTGTTTATCAGCTGAAGAAGTTTTTGGGTTTTCTAGATATAAAATTATATTGACTGCAAACAGGCATAGCTTGAATTCCTCTCTTCCTATTTGGATGCCCTTTATTTCTTTCTCTTGCCTAATTGTTATGGCTAACACTTCCAATACCATGTTAAATAGGAGTGGTGAGAGACAGCATCCTTGCCTTGTGCAGGTTTTTAAGGGGAATGCTTCCAACTTTTCCCCATTCTGTGTGATGTTGGCTGTGGGTTTGTCACAGATGGCTCTTATTATTTTGAGGTATGTTCCTTCAATACCTAGCTCACTGAGAGTTTTTAACATGAAGGGATGTTGAATTTTAATAAAAGCCTTTTCTGTATCTGTTGAAATAACACATAGTTTTTGCCTCTAGTTCTGTCTGTGTGATGAATCACATTTAACTTTATGTATGTTGAACCAACCTCACATCCCAGGGATAAAGCCTACTTGATTGTGATAGATTAGGCTTTTGATGTTCTCATGGATTAAGTTTGCAACTATTTTGTTGAAGATTTTTGCATTAATATTCATCAAGGATATTGGCCTAAAATTTTCATTTTTTGTTGTGTTTTTGCCAGGTTTTGATATCAGAATGATGCTGGCCTTAAGGAACGACTGGGGAAGAATCATTCTTCCTAAATTTTTTGCATAGGTTCAATACAAATGGTACTATCTCTTCTTTGTACATCTGGTAGAATTTGGCAGAGAATCCATCTGGTACTGGGATTTCTTTTGGTTGGTAGGCTACTTACTACTGATTCAATGTTGGAGCTCATTATTGGTCTGTTCAGGAAATCAATTTCTTCCTGGCTTAGTCTTGTGAAGGGTATGTGTCCAGGAATTTATCCATCCCTTCTAGATTTTGTCGTTTGTGTGCATAGAGGTGCTCATAATAGTCTCTGATGGTTATTTGTATTTCTAGGGGTTCAGTGGTAACATCTCCTTGGTCATTTATAATTTTGTTTTTTGGGCCATCTCTCTTTTCTTCATATTAGTCTAGCTAGCAGCCTCCTTATATTATTTAGTTGTTATGTTAAGTTGTTGAGATCTTTCTATCATTTCGATGTGGTGCTTAGTTCTAATTACTGCTTTGAATTCTATTTCTCCCAAACTTCTTCTAGTTATTCCCTAATCATCTCTAGGATGCCAGCTTAAATATCAACCCTAAGAGAAGACATCTTCTACCTACAGTAAAATCTGTGCACCATCATAATTGTTCTCTCTCCTGTTGCCTTATTCTACTTATTTATGACACTTGTCACAATCTTAATTTTAAGTGCAGTTTATTTTGTTTGTTTAAGATATATCTTCCCCTCCAGCCTGTTATCCAAGAGAAGAAGAAACTGTATTTTATATTCACTGTATACACAACACTCAGTACACTGCCTGGAACATGCTAAGTTATCCATAAATGTTTTTTGAGTAAATATATTGAAAACAAGAATCTTGATTATATCCACAAGTGTTTAGTTTTGGTTCACGTGATTTTTTAAAATTAATAAATTTTGCAATAATTATAATATTATGAAATTCTCATAAAATCCAAGTAATCTGACTATACTTAGTTTGCTTTTTGGAATTGCAATAAATGGATGAAGCAGAACAGCATATTTCTTCATTAAAGAAAAAATACTCCATGATTTACCCAAATTGCCTAAACATATTATTACTATCCTTCAGCCACCACCCCAATTCACAATTTTATTTGATTTTTTTGACCACAGAAATGAATATAGTGTGAAATTAAGTAAAATTTCTAATTAAAAAGTAGATTATGGACACAATGCAGAAAATGCTTACTTCTACCTACAAAAGTCAGCAAGATATCCCATAGATGAGGATGTTGGAGCCATGGTGCCTTGATCAGATGAGAAAAAGAGAACAAAGCATCCCGCACATGTGAAATTAGAAATACATGGTTGTTAATTGTAATTACATCTCTCTCAGTATAAGTCTATGTTGGATGAGTGGGAAAATCTTCCTTATGCCCCTGAAATTACACTGTCATTAAGCCTGAAACTTAAGATAATTTGATACTTAATAAAACAATCCCACTTCTAACAACAGATGCATGAACAAATATGTCAAATTTTTAAATGGAATCTTAATAATGCCACAAAAAAAATCAAACTAATGATATACAACCTGATGATACATTAAATATGTTCCCCCTAAAATAAGGAGCAAGGCTGGGTATGGTGGCTCACGCCTATAATCCCAGAACTTTGGGAGGCTGAGGCAGGTGGATCATGAGGTCAGGAGTTCGAGACCAGCCTGACCAACATGGCGAAAACCCATCTCTATTAAAAATACAAAAATTAGTCAGGCATGGTGGTGGGTGCCTGTAATCCCAGCTACCCAGGAGGCTGAAGAAGGAGAATCACTTGAACCCGGGAGGCAGAGGTTGCAGTGAGCCAAGATTGTGCCATTGCACTCCAACCTGGGCGACAAGAGCAAGGCTCTGTCTCAAAACAAACAAAGAAACAAAACACAAATGAAATGAGGAACAAGGCCTTGATATTTGTTTTCACTACCTCTATTTGACATTATAATATCAGTCTAAGTCTGCAATGATGAAGGAAAAATAAATAAAACTCATAAATATTGGAAAGGAATAAAATCTGTTAATTTGCAGATGAAATGAAGTAAATTTTAGAGAATTTATAGAAGAAACAAACAAAAATTCTACTCTAATTAAGACAAATGAGCAGGGTTGCTGGATGCAAGGGTCATAATTAAGCTCAATTATTATGTATCCTAGTAACAAATGGATATGAAATATACAATGAGACATACGGTTTCTCTTGGCCTTAGAGTTCAGCATTTTGGTTGATTACCGAGATTCAGCTGTACTCTTGTCTTTAGAAGCTGTGAAATATAACCATATATTTGTCATAAATTGCCGTTGTTGACTTAGATAGCTTGGGGCTCTTTTTTCCTTGTAAAACTAACAACAAACCCAAACAACAACAGGAACAAAATGCAGAAGCCTTATAAATACAGTTACTTAATGTACAACTTAATATATACACAAAATATTTTATCTTTTTATTTTCTAATGGCGTAATGGCAGAATTTGCCTTCCAATAAAGATATTTAGAAAATATTTAGTATTTTGAGGCAATAAGTAGAAAGTTTGGAGAGTAGAAGAATCTTGACCAGGCACAGTAATTTATGCCTATAATCCCAGCATTTTGGGAGGCTGAGGCAGGAGAGCCACTTGAGCCCAGGAGTTTAAGACCTTCCTGGGCAATATAGACAGATATCAGATCTACAAAAAAATTTAAAAATTAGCCGAGTGTGGTAGCACACACCTGTGGTCCCAGCTACTAGGGAGGCTCAGGCGGGAGGGTCACTTGAGCCTAGGAGTTGGAGGAAGTTATTAATATGATCATGCCACTGTTCTCCAACCTGGGCAACAGAGTGAAACTCTATCTTAAAAAAATATATTTTTTACTTGTTCCTTAAATAATTCATTTTAGCATAATGTCTAAAGAGGAATTCTTTCTACTTTCTAAAGTTTCTTGAAGATGCCAGAGCAATGTCTTCTCTTCCTGTGGAAGAAATCCTTACTTCCTTGGACACATATAAACAGGCCAGTGCTAAGGAAAACAAAAAATTAACATTACTTACCTAAACTTAATTACAAATAGAAGGAATATTCAAAGCAAGGTGGATACTCTATCGTATGACCTATTGTTTACTCGGTTCTTTCATTTCCCATTTTAATTTTAGTCCTTATTCTCAGATCAGCCTGCTTAAATTTTTCAAAATCAGGCGAAACAGAAAGTGACCTCCATACACTGGAGGCTCAGAATGGGAAGGTGGGTTTATGTAACTCAGAGAGCTGGATCCATAAACTCAAGTTTAAGAAAAGTACAATCATTCTCTTCCCCTCTTTTTCCATTGCCACTCTTCACTATGTAAGAGCACTTATAAAAACCAGAAGCCATCACCATGGCCCCTAGTTTCTGGTCTACCACAGCAAGTCAGGAAAGGAGTACAGAAGAATGGATTTCTTGGAGTGCAGAAGAATGGGTTTCTTAAAGACATCTCTGCTGAAGCAGCAGGCGAGAATAAGAATAGAATACATTCAAGAAATTGGGCTGGGAGCACATTTATTTTGTTTGCCATTGTAAACAAAAAGAGCACAACAGTGTTCCAGGGCATGCCACGTTTCACCCACAGCAGTGCTCCTCAAAATTCAGTGTGCTTATCAATCATCTAGGAGTTTGGATAAAACACATATTTAAATACAGTGCACCTGAGGTGCAGACTTTGATTCTGTACGTGTAACAACCTCCAAGGAAGAGCTCATGCTGCTGATTCATGGAATATATGTGGAGGAGCAAAGCCTAGAAAAATCTCATTTTTACCCAGCATGAGCTTTTTAGCTGAGACACTCAACATAGACTCACAGAGAATATTAAAACTCACCATCAGAACGCTAGGACATGTGAGCCAAAGATTTCGATTTAATGTTTATTAGGAAACAAAGGCATCACCATGGTCATGACAATATTTCATCTCAGGACATTCTTCAAGGCCTGCTTCACATCTTTATTCCTCAGACTGTAGATCAATGGATTAAGTACCGGACTCACAAAGGTGTAAAAGACAGCTATTATTTTAGATTCCTCAACAGTCTTATCTGTTGGTGGTCTTATATACATGCAAAAGAGAGTCCCATAAAACAGGGTGACAGCCATCATATGGGAACCACAGGTGGAGAATGCCTTGTGCCTTCCCTCTGCTGATTTGATCCGGAGGATGGCAGCAAGAATGAAGGCATAGGACACCAAGACGATGGTGAGGGAGCTGGAGAGGTTGAAGCCAGCAGATATGAACATGGCATGCTCTTTGACATAAGTATCAGAACAAGAAAGCTTAATGAGCGGCGGGTCAGCACAGTAGAAGTGGTTGATGACACTGGATCTACAGAAGGTCAGGCGGAAGGTCAGGATGGCCTGGAAGAGTCCATCTGAGAAGCCATAGACATAGGGAAATGTGGCCAAGCAGATGCAAACTCTCCTGGACGTTTTCACACTGTAGCGCAGAGGGTCATATATGGCCACATAGCGGTCATAGGCCATTGCTGCCAGCATGTAAAACTCAGTGAGTAGAAGGGCAATGAAAATGTAGCACTGTGTAAAGCAACCAGCAAAGGAAATGGTCTTCTCAGATACGATATTAGTCGACATCTGCGGGGTTGCATTTGATGTATAGCACAAATCCACAAAGGCTAAGTTAGTGAGGAAGAAGTACATGGGCGTGTGAAGGCGAGAGTCCAGTCTCATTAACATTATCATGCCCAGGTTGCCTAGCAGGGTGACGAGGTAAACAACCAGAAACAGCACAAAAAGCAGAGACTGGAGTTCCGGGCAATCTGTGAGCCCAAGTAAAATGAATTCTGTGATTGCACTGCCATTTGTGTTGGACATTTCCTGACAGTTTGCTCTTCAAGCTATGGAAATAAAGCCAATATAAACAAATGCACATACCATGTTAATGTTCATTTGAATTAGTTTTTCTCCACATCTTCATATATCATCGAAAGTTATCTATTTCTGGGTACTACCATAAACTGGTTTTGGTAATTATGGTAGACTTACTATAATTTTGTAAGTCTACAATGTCATTATATCATTTGCCTAGGCATTACATTACTAATATATTCTTTCTCTACACCTATAGATATATCTATACCTACACCTGTATCTATCTATCCATCATCTATCTATCTATCTATCTATCTATCTATCTATATGACTGAGCTACATCTCTTCTATCTTCCTGTACTTTTTAAAACCTAATTCTATTCATGCTACATGACCCACTTTAAAGGCCACTTCTTTGTGAAGCATTTCTCATCCATTTCTCCTAATACGTGTCACTGAATTCTCTCTTCTTTATTTCCAGAGTATTCTATATTTCTCTAATTTATTATTTAGCCCCCATTGTATCATTATAAAGTATATACTTTCTCATCACATAATGGTGTTGAGAGCAGGGACAAAGTGAAGTTCATTTTTTAATTATACTTCTCAACACATATTTTTATACTAAATTTTCTTAAAATGCAAAAAGGAGAGCATGTAAGAATGAATGACTTGCAATTTTTACTCACAGATTTATCTCCATGTAGCCTTGCGTGATGTCATGTTCTCAGGAGAATTAAGTGATTATTGAAACTTAGTGTAGAAGCAATTCTTGGGAAGCTTGTTTATTAGCCCATATCACAGGTTTTTGCAGAAATTCTTATGTGGGGTACTGGAATCTTCATCTCTAATGATTATCTGTAGGATTCTAATGCAAGTGTTCCAAGATCATAGCTCAAAATGCACAGTCAGAATGGCTCAATAAACATATGCCAAATAAATGAACAAAGAACTGTGAAATAAAATAAATTTTCATATAGTATCTTGAGGATGTTTAGAGCAATGACTTAATGTGTTTAGAAAGAAAATAAATTAATATTTTCAGAGTTGGTATTTAATCTTTTAATCACAACTTGTATCTAACAAGAGGTATTACAAATCCTTTTGGCTTTTTACCTCTCTTCACATCAGAATCTTTGCTAATTCACATTTTCCTTTCTTTCGAGAAGTTTTTAATTTTTGCCCATTCTTTCATACTTGAAATTTTTATTACAGGCTTCTCAATTCTTGTCTCATCTCAAAATGAGTCACCTCATTTATTTTACTGTAAGTTTTAGAATGCCTATAATCAAAACTCTGTCTTGCTGTTACTATTGAGAAAAGCAACGTACAAAAAGGTTAAATAATTGAACCGAGGTCACACTACTAGTGCATACAATCTGAGAATCTGAGGTAAGAACTGAAAATTATGTATTTTAAAAACTTCCTTTATTAGCTGCTGCTGCAATACATATCACCTTTCTAAAGCTAAACTGTTTCATAAAATTGTATGTATAGACCTGGAAGGCCTTGAGATATATGATGATAAGGAACTTCTGGGGACACAGATAGTCATGGCATTCTTACATAGTGCACCATGATAAACAGGATTGTGCCAGACACATTCTCCTTACACTTAGTCATGTTCTACTATGTGACTGACTTGTGCCCTTGAGTACCTGTATGTGATATATCTAAGAAATATCAAGTAGAAGCTATGACATATCTTGATGTTAGGAGCTGGTTAGGAGCCCTGGATTACAGAGTTACTTCAGTAATTTAAAAGCTTTGCAACTGAATGAATCACTG
Organism: Homo sapiens; assembly: GCF_000001405.40. Taxonomy (NCBI): domain Eukaryota; kingdom Metazoa; phylum Chordata; class Mammalia; order Primates; family Hominidae; genus Homo; species Homo sapiens. Next base: position 56,545,043 of record NC_000011.10, read on the forward strand.
TGTTTTCCCATGTGTAAATGGAAATAATAATATTTATCTTTCCTCTTCTCATGTCATTTTGGGCATCAAAATAGATATTCATGAAACAAGTATTTACTGATACTCAATATTTTGTGTGATTGGGCACTATAGATGCAGAAGCGAACAAACCTTTCAAAAATTTCTGCTTTTTTTGGTTTTCCCATTCTAGTGGACAGAGAGAGCTATTATTTCAAGTAAATAAATAATATTCAAATAACTGTTGTGGAGAAAAATAAAGGAAATACAGTTTTGGGGAAAGGAAAGTCAAGGAAGACCTCATTAAAAAAGTAATGTTTGGCCAGGCAGGATGGCTCATGCCTGTAGTTCGAGCACTTTGGGAGGCTGAGGCGGGTGGGTCACCTGAGGTCAGGAGTTCAAGACCAGCCTGGCCAACACGGAGAAACCCCATCTCTACTAAAAATACAAAAATCAGTCAGGTGTGGTGGCACGTGCCTGTAATCTCAGCTACTTCGGAGGCTGAGGCAGAAGAATTGCTCAAGCCCAGGATGGAGAGGTTGCAGTGAGCGGAGATCAGCCACTGTACTCCAGCCTGGCGACAGAGTAAGGTTCTACCAAAAAAAAAAAAAAAGTAAAGTTTATGGCAACAACTGTAGCAAGAAAACTTCTAAGAAGGATATCATAAGAAGTGTAAACCAAAAATAAATAAAGGGACTTCCTCCTCAGCCAGGGCTTGTAAAATTTAACTTGAAAGACTAGTTCAGGCGGTTAAGGGAAATGGGGGTCGGACATGCCTCATTATTCCTCTCCAGCATTAACATAACACAGACTTTTCTATTGATCTCAGGTCTTTAGACAAACCAATTGTCAACCAGAAAATATTTAAATTTACCTACAGCCTGGAAACGCCACGCCACGCTGCCCCAACCTGGACTTTGAGTTGTCCTGCACCAAACCAAGGTAAATCTTACATGTATTGATTGATAGATTATGTCTCTCTAAAATGTATAAAAGCAAGCTGTACCATGACCACCTTCAACACATGTCCTCAGGACCTCTGGAAGCTGTGTCACAGGTGTGTCCTCAACCTTGGCAAAATAAACTTTCTAAACTAACTGAGACCTGTCTCAGATTTCCTGGGTCTACAGAAGGATAACGAGCAAATACAAGGATACCAGATGTAATGGTTCTTTGGAAACTATCACTGAGTGAAATTTGTGTGTGTATGTGCACACACAAACACACACACACACACACTTAATGCAAAGTGCAGAAAATCCAGCTAAGCTCCCTAAACTACAGATATTTCACTTTACTCTTATTCACTTCAAATCTTTCTCACGTTAAGTGTTACTCATTTCAAGTTCCTATCAAGAGTATCAATGGCCTTCACCAGAGTACAGTTTCAGTGGTTACAACAAAGAAAAATGAGAGAAAATATATCAGGATGTGGGAATTTCAGATTTAAAAAGACACAGTAGGAAATTGGACTAGAGGAGTTCATTTGCAGAATAACTTATTTGTTGCATGTGGCTTAATAACTGCCTGTGAGATCTGAAACAGTTTTGACTGAGAGGCTCATTGGCTTTTATGGGATCCAGAAATACACAATTGCAGTAGAGAAGAAGGGCTCATAAGTGGAGAGAGGTAAAAAGACTACAGCTAAGATGTGTGTACAAAGAAGGAAAACCACAGTAGGTCTAACCCCTGTGTCAGGACAGAATAAAAGGTGAACACCTCTTGAATAAGGAACACCTGGGCTTGCTAGGTCAGTATGTTGGGAAGGTTCTGCATGATAGAGGAAGAACGAGCAGAGGAGTAGGTCAAGGATAGGAAAAAGTTACAAGTTGTAAAACCTAGAACTGGGACCTCAGATACATAGTATACAGAATCCAATATTGATACAGGAGCAGGGTTGGGAAGTGATGTGTAGAGAAGGGTGGGGTCCCTGGTGAGGGCTCCACCCACAGAACTTTGCCCAAGGACCTAAGTGAGAACAGGCTCTCCTGTTTTTGCACCCAAATGTTGCATTTTCCAAGACCACTCTGGCCCACCACAGGCCCCATCCTGTGCCCAAAAAAACCCGAGGCCTTAGTGGGCATGGACACAAGTGGCTGGATGTTGACAGGAGCAGAGGAGCACAACAGCAGACACCAGCAGATGCCAGCAGACCAGTGATGGTGGAACGATGCAGACACCGAGGGGAGTTCGTCTGGGGGTGGTCAGAGCATCATCGGCAAATGAGCTGCCCGACTCCAGGGGAAGACCAATTTCCCACTCCGTCCCCTTTCTGGCTCCCCATCCATCTCATTGAGAGCCACCTCCACCACTCAATAAAACCTTGCACTCATCCTCCATGTCCACATGTGATCCAATTTTTCCGATACACTGGGCAAGAACTTGGAATACAGAAAGCCTGCTGCCCTTGTGGTAATGCAGAGGGTCTAACTGAGCTGATTAATGCAAGCCGCCTGAAGACAGCAAAGCTGAAAGATCACACTGTAACACACACCCATTGGGGCTTCAGGAGCTGTAAACACTTAACCCTAGATGCTGCTGTGGGGTTGGAGCCCAAAAACACTCCCACGACCTGTACACCTGCCTGTCTGCATTCCACCCCTAGGGATTTGAGCAGTGGGGCACCAAAGAAGCAAGCCACACTCCTGTCACTTGCCATGCGAGGAGGATAAGGAAACTCTCCTATTTCAATACGAAATAAAACTGCAAGAATCCTTGTACAAAAAAATTATGTAAAATTTCAGGACCATGAGATCAAAGCATTAAACCAAGCTTGGGATGTTCTTCTAAGCACAAGGCCTTGTGAATAGACTGCATGACCATGACCCAACCATACCTGGAACACACAAGCCATAAAAACTGACACTGAAAATACAGAATGAGAAGGAAAGTCCCCAACTCTCAACAATTAAAAAATAGAAGATGCTCCAAAGGAAGGCTTTTATTCCAGGTGAGAATGCACTAGGCCGTAATCAATTTCAAGAGCCTAATTGTCTAGATCAATTTTGTAGGCTATTCAATCACAAGTGAATAAGAAAAGACTGTTTCAGAAAAAGAAAAGAAACCAGTCAAGAAAACTACTTAGGAAGAATTCATTGTAAGAAAGATTCTTAAGCTTGTTTCTTCGTTTGTTTGCTTGTTCAAATGAACCCCTTGAAAATCCAAGATAAATGCAGATACTGAAAATCTCACCTCCAAAATGTAAAAGGTTTATAGATTGCCTGAACCGCAGTTAATGAACCCTTTTAAAAAATAAATTTTAATGCATCTATTTAAGGTTCACAACATAATGTCATGTGATACATAGAGTAAAATCTTACTATAGTAAAGCAAATTAACACAAACATTAACATATAGTTACCCTTTTTGTGTGTCTGTGTGCAAGATCAGCTAAGATATATTCATTTAGCACGAATCCCAAATACGGTATAATTTTATTACCCCTAGTCCTCATGTTGTTCATTAGATCTCTAGACTTGTTTATCCTGTGAATTCACCACCTCTTAAAGCATCTGTACTTCCATGTTTTTGCAGTATTATTCATCACAGCTAAGGTATGGAAACAACCCAAGTGCCTCATGAAGGACAAATAGATAAAGAAATGGTGGTATATATTTACAATAGAATATTATTCATCCCTGAAAAGGAAGATCGTGTTATTTGATACAACACGTACAAGCCTGGAGGACATTATTCTAAGTGAAATAAACCAGACACAGAAAGACAAATACTGAATGATCTCACTTATATGGGGAATATTTAAAAAATTAAATATACAGTGATAAAAATAAAACAGTGGTTACCAGAGGTAGAGGGCTAGAAGAGGAAATAGAGGTATGCAGGTTAGAAGATACAAAGTACATGAAAAACTTAGATTAAATTAAGCCCCATCTAATGCCTAAAAATGACCTTGCATTTGTGTGTGATGAGCATACTGTTTGTCTTTCTTGTTGTTTTTTTTTTTTTTTTTTTTTGTGTGTGTGTGTTCTTGGGTAGAGAAGACCCATTTCTTTATTATTATTATACTTTAAGTTTTAGGGTACATGTGCACAACATGCAGGTTTGTAACATATGTATACATGTGCCATGCTGGTGTGCTGCACCCACTAACTCGTCATCTAGCATTAGGTTTATCTCCCAATGCTATCCCTCCCCCCTCCCCCCACCCCACAACAGTCCCCAGAGTGTGATGTTCCCCTTCCTGTGTCCAGTGTTCTCATTGTTCAATTCCCACCTATGAGTGAGGATACGCAGTGTTTGGTTTTTTGTTCTTGCGATAGTTTACTGAGAATGATGAATTCCAATTTCATCCATGTCCCTACAAAGGACATGAACTCATCATTTTTATGGCTGCATAGTATTCCATGGTGTATATGTGCCACATTTTCTTAATCCAGTCTAACATTGTTGGACATTTGGGTTGGTTCCAAGTCTTTGCTATTGTGAATAATGCCACAATAAACATACTTGTGCATGTGTCTTTATAGCAGCATGATTTATAGTCCTTTGGGTATATACCCAGTAATGGGATGGCTGGGTCAAATGGTATTTCTAGTTCTAGATCCCTGAGGAATCACCACACTGACTTCCACAATGGTTGAACTAGTTTACAGTCCCACCAACAGTGTAAAAGTGTTCCTATTTCTCCACATCCTCTCCAGCACCTGTTGTTTCCTGACTTTTTAATGATTGCCATTCTAACTGGTGTGAGATGGTATCTCATTGTGCTTTTGATTTGCATTTCTCTGATGGCCAGTGATGGTGAGCATTTTTTCATGTGTTTTTTGGCTGCATAAATGTCTTCTTTTGAGAAGTGTCTGTTCATGTCCTTCGCCCACTTTTTGATGGGGTTGTTTGATTTTCTTGTACATTTGTTTAAGTTCATTGTAGATTCTGGATATTAGCCCTTTGTCAGATGAGTAGGTTGTGAAAATTTTCTCCCATTTTGTAGGTTGCCTGTTCACTCTGATGGTAGTTTCTTTTGCTGTGCAGAAGCTCTTTAGTTTAACTAGATCCCATTTGCCAATTTTGGCTTTTGTTGCCATTGCTTTTGGTGTTTTAGACATAAAGTCCTTGCCCATGCCTATGTCCTGAAAGGTAAAGCCTAGGTTTTCTTCTAGAGTTTTTATGGTTTTAGGTCTAACGTTTAAGTCTTTATTCCATCTTGAATTGATTTTTGTATAAGGTGTAAGGAAGGGATCCAGTTTCAGCTTTCTACATATGGCTAGCCAGTTTTCCCAGCACCATTTATTAAATAGGGAATCCTTTCCCCATTGCTTGTTTTTGTCAGGTTTGTCAAAGATCAGATAGTTGTAGATATGCGGCGATATTTCTGAGAGCTCTGTTCTGTTCCATTCATCTATATCTCTGTTTTGCTACCAGTACCATGCTGTTTTGGTTACTGTAGCCTTGTAGTATAGATTGAAGTCAGGTACCATGATGCCTCCAGCTTTGTTCTTTTGGCTTAGGATTGACTTGGCGATGCGGGCTCTTTTTTGGTTCTATATGAACTTTAAAGTAGTTTTTTCCAATTCTGTGAAGAAAGTCATTGGTAGCTTGATGGGGATGGCATTGAATCTGTAAATTACCTTGGGCAGTATGGACATTTTCAAGATATTGATTCTTCCTACCCATGAGCATGGAATGTTCTTCCATTGGTTTGTATCCTCTTTTATTTCATTGAGCAGTGGTTTGTAGTTCTCCTTGAAGAGGTCCTTCACATCCCTTGTAAGTTGGATTCCTAGGTATTTTATTCTCTTTGAAGCAATTGTGAATGGGAGTTCACTCATGATTTGGCTCTCTGTTTGTCTGTTGTTGGTGTATAAGAATACTTGTGATTTTGTACATTGATTTTGTATCCTGAGACTTTGCTGAAGTTGCTTATCAGCTTAAGGAGATTTGGGGCTGAGATGATGGGGTTTTCTAGATATACAATCATGTCGTCTGCAAACAGGGACAATTTGACTTCCTCTTTTCCTAATTGAATACCATTTATTTCCTTCTCCTGCCTAATTGCCCTGGCCAGAACTTCCAACACTATGTTGAATAGGAGTGGTGAGAGAGGACATCCCTGTCTTGTGCCAGATTTCAAAGGGAATGCTTCCAGTTTTTGCCCATTCAGTATGATATTGGCTGTGGGTTTGTCATAGATAGCTCTTATTATTTTGAAATACGTCCCATCAATACCTAATTTATTGAGAGTTTTTAGCATGAAGTGTTGTTGAATTTTGTCAAAGGCCTTTTCTGCATCTATTGAGATAATCATGTGGTTTTTGTCTTTGGTTCTGTTTATATGCTGGATTACATTTATTGATTTGCATATATTGAACCAGCCTTGCATCCCAGGGATGAAGCCCACTTGATCATGGTGGACAAGCTTTTTGATGTGCTGCTGGATTCGGTTTGCCAGTATTTTACTGAGGATTTTTGCATCAATGTTCATCAGGGATATTGGTCTAAAATTCCTTTTTTGGTTGTGTCTCTGCCCGGCTTTGGTATCAGGATGATGCTGGCCTCATAAAATGAGTTAGGGAGGATTCCCTCTTTTTCTATTGGTTGGAATAGTTTCAGAAGGAATGGTACCAGCTCCTCCTTGTACCTCTGGTAGAATTCGGCTGTGAATCCATCTGGTCCTGGACTCTTTTTCGTTGGTAAGCTATTGATTATTGCCACAATTTCAGATCCTGTTATTGGTCTAGTCAGAGATTCAACTTCTTCCTGGTTTAGTTTGGGAGAGTGTATGTGTCCAGGAATTTATCCATTTCTTCTAGATTTTCTAAGTCTATTTGCATAGAGGTGTTTGTAGTATTCTCTGATGGTAGTTTGTATTTCTGTGGGATCGGTGGTGATATCCCCTTTATCATTTTTTATCACGCCTATTTGATTCTTCTCTCTTATTTTCTTTATTAGTCTTGCTACTGGTTTATCAATTTTGTTGATCTTTTCAAAAAAACAGCTCCTGGATTCATTAATTTTTTGAAGGGTTTTTTGTGTCTCTATTTCCTTCAGTTCTGCTCTGATTTTAGTTATTTCTTGCCTTCTGCTAGCTTTTGAATGTGTTTGCTCTTGCTTTTCTAGTTCTTTTAATTGTGATGTTAGGGTGTCAATTTTGGATCTTTCCTGCTTTCTCTTGTGGGCATTTAGTGCTATAAATTTCCCTCTACACACTGCTTTGAATGCGTCCCAGAGATTCTGGTATGTTGTGTCTTTGTTCTCGTTGGTTTCAAAGAACATCTTTATTTCTGCCTTCATTTCGTTATGTACCCAGCAGTCATTCAGGAGCAGGTTGTTCAGTTTCTACATAGTTGAGTGGTTTTGAGTTAGATTCTTAATCCTGAGTTCTAGTTTGATTGCACTGTGGTCTGAGAGATAGTTTGTTATAATTTCTGTTCTTTTACATTTGCTGAGTAGAGGTTTACTTCCAAGTATGTGGTCAGTTTTGGAGTAGGTGTGGTGTGGTGCTGAAAAAAATATATATTCTGTTGATTTGGGGTGGAGAGTTCTGTAGATGTCTATTAGGTACGCTTGGTGCAGAGCTGAGTTCAATTCCTGGGTATCCTTGTTGACTTTCTGTCTCGTTGATCTGTCTAATGTTGACAGTGGGGTGTTAAAGTCTCCCATTATTAATGTGTGGGAGTCTAAGTCTCTTTGTAGGTCACTCAGGACTTGCTTTATGAATCTGGGTGCTCCTGTATTGGGTGCATATATATTTAGGATAGTTAGCTCTTCTTGTTGAATTGATCCCTTTACCATTATGTAATGGCCTTCTTTGTCTCTTTTGATCTTTGTTGGTTTAAAGTCTGTTTTATCAGAGACTAGGATTGCAACCCCTGCCTTTTTTTGTTTTCCATTGGCTTGGTAGATCTTCCTCCATCCTTTTATTTTGAGCCTATGTGTGTCTCTGCACGTGAGATGGGTCTCCTGAATACAGCACACTGATGGGTCTTGACTCTTGGTATCCAATTTGCCAGTCTGTGTCTTTTAATTGGAGTGTTTAGTCCATTTACTTTTAAAGTTAATATTGTTATGTGTGAATTTGATCCTGTCATTATGATGTTAGCTGGTTATTTTGCTTGTCAGTTGATGCAGTTTCTTCCTAGTCTCGATGGTCTTTACATTTTGGTATGATTTTTCAGTGGCTGGTACCGGTTGTTCCTTTCCATGTTTAGCGCTTCCTTCAGGAGCTCTTTTAGGGCAGGCCTGGTGGTTACAAAATCTCTCAGCATTTGCTTGTCTGTAAAGTATTTTATTTCTCCTTCACTTATGAAGCTTAGTTTGGCTGGATATGAAATTCTGGGTTGAAAATTCTTTTCTTTAAGAATGTTGAATGTTGGCCCCCACTCTCTTCTGGCTTGTAGAGTTTCTGCCGAGAGATCCGCTGTTAGTCTGATGGGCTTCCCTTTGAGGGTAACCCGACCTTTCTCTCTGGCTGCCCTTAACATTTTTTCCTTCATTTCAACTTTGGTGAATCTGACAATTATGTGTCTTGGAGTTGCTCTTCTGGGGGAGTGTCTTTGTGGCGTTCTCTGTATTTCCTGAATCTGGATGTTGGCCTGCCTTGCTAGATTGGGGAAGTTCTCTTGGATAATATCCTGCAGAGTGTTTTCCAACTTGGTTCCATTCTCCCCATCACTTTCAGGTACACCAATCAGACGTAGATTTGGTCTTTTCACATAGTCCCATATTTCTTGGAGGCTTTGCTCATTTCTTTTTATTCTTTTTTCTCTAAACTTCCCTTCTCACTTCATTTCATTCAATTCATCTTCCATTGCTGATACCCTTTCTTCCAGTTGATCGCATCGGCTCCTGAGGCTTCTGCATTCTTCATGTAGTTCTCGAGCTTGGTTTTCAGCTCCATCAGCTCCTTTAAGCACTTCTCTCTATTGGTTATTCTAGTTATACATTCTTCTAAATTTTTTTCAAAGTTTTCAAGTTCTTTACCTTTGGTTTGAATGTCCTCCCGTAGCTTGGAGTAGTTTGATCGTCTGAAGCCTTCTCTCAGCTCGTCAAAGTCATTCTCCGTCCAGCTTTGTTCCATTGCTGGTGAGGAATTGCGTTCCTTTGGAGGAGGAGAGGCGCTCTGCTTTTTAGGGTTTCCAGTTTTTCTGCTCTGTTTTTTCCCCATCTTTGTGGTTTTATCTACTTTTGGTCTTTGATGATGGTGATGTACAGATGGGTTTTCGGTGTGGATGTCCTTTCTGTTTGTTAGTTTTCCTTCTAACAGACAGGACCCTCAGCTGCAGGTCTGTTGGAGTACCCGGCCGTGTGAGGTGTCAGTCTGCCCCCGCTGGGGGTTGCCTCCCAGTTAGGCTGCTCGGGGGTCAGGGGTCAGGGACCCACTTGAGGAGGCAGATCTCCAGCTGTGTGCTGGGAGAACCACTGCTCTCTTCAAAGCTGTCAGACAGGGACATTTAAGTCTGCAGAGGTTACTGCTGTCTTTTTGTTTGTCTGTGCCCTGCCCCCAGAGGTGGAGCCTACAGAGGCAGGCAGGCCTCCTTGAGCTGTGGTGGGCTCCACCCAGTTCCAGCTTCAGGGCTGCTTTGTTTACCTAAGCAAGCCTGGGCAATGGCGGGCGCTCCTCCCCTAGCCTCGCTGCCACCTTGCAGTTTGATCTCAGACTGCTGTGCTAGCAATCAGTGAGACTCCGTGGGTGTAGGACCCTCCAAGCCAGGTGTGGGATATAATCTGGCACGCCGTTTTTTAATCCCGTCAGAAAAGCGCAGTATTGGGGTGGGAGTGACCTGATTTTCCAGGTGCCATCTGTCACCCCTTTCTTTGACTAGGAAAGGGAACTCCCTGACCCCTTGCGCTTCCTGAGAGAGGCAATGCCTCGCCCTGCTTCCGCTCGCGCAGGGTGTGCGCACCCACTGACCTGTGCCCACTGTCTGGCACTCCCTAGTGAGAAGAACCCAGTACCTCAGATGGAAATGCAGAAATCACCTGTCTTCTGTGTTGCTCACGCTGGGAGCTGTAGACCCGAGCTCTTCCTATTCGGCCATCTTGGCTCCTCCCCTGTCTTTCTTGTTTTGTTTTTTATTTCATCAGTGATAATTCCATAAAATACTATTTGAAAAATATCACAGCGAATTTTAGTGAGTCTGTTGTTAGGGAAATTAATTGAGTTCAAACTCTGCTACTAGAAATAGAAGATTACATATATGCATTTTTAGGAAACAGAGTACCCCAAAGTTAAATTTGTCCTAGAGGACTGCAGGATAAAATACGATTTTGTCCATTTTTGCTTGTAAAGGTGGAAACAAGCAAAATTTTTAAAATGAAGAGTAGAAGCATAATAAACAGTTATTTTTTAAGAAGCAACCTTCAAGGTGACTTAAAATATTTGAAAATATAAGTCCCTTATTTACTTGAAATAAGGAGATGCAAAGGAAAACATTTGCTAATGTAGTTTTCTATCTTGTCCTCAGAGACATACAAAGCTTTATGCTGTTGGAAACTAGAGAGGAAGAAGATGGGACCCGTAGTCTGTTTTCAAAATGATATTACTTTCAGCGAAAGGAGAATGTATGAGGCTATCTCTGTCTCCTTTTCATTGCCTTCCTTCTTCTTTAATGGTATTGGAAATGTTCTAATATGGTGAAGAAAAATAAATGATTGAAATACAAATGATGTGTGCTAGGAGCTAAGTGGAAAAAATATATAAATTCACTAGATCATTTATTTGCAAGGAAAGTAAAGTACACAGATGGATTCTAGATTGAAATGTGAGACTCAGGGCCAACAGAATGTTTCGTGTTAACCTTGACAGATGCAACACTTAAATCAACTCTCAATATACCTGTCCACTAATGGCCAACTTGTCAGCAGTCTAGTACCTATGATCAGATGCAAATGACCAGTGATACCCAAAAGCAGCAATTCCCTAAGCTATCCAGGTGTGCTCAGAGATTCTCCCAAGCAAACAAAAGTTCTGGGTGGCTCTGGAACCTATGCTCAGCTCTGCCACCAACTAACTTTCTAATTGAACTTGGTTAATATCTCGCTCATTTGCAATTTTTGCAAAATAAATTAGATTACATGATACTGGGCCTACTCTAATATACTGAATGTCTGAGTAAATATTTTAGTATTCAAAAAGTAACAATTTTATGAATCTAATCCCCATTAGTGATTTTGATTCTAGCTTCATCAGTAACAAATCGTACCACCACCACAGTGTCAAATTATCTAAACTGTCTTACGTTAATGTTCCCAGCTATAAAATGAGAAATGGAGTTTTTAGGAGGAATAATATAGTTTACTCATTTAAAGTGCTTAGAAAAATGATTTGCATATAGTAAGCATGTAATGAGTATTGTTACAAATGGAGTTAACACTTTTCATAGCTAACCTCCTTTCCTACTTCTTTGCTCACAGCCTCTGAGAGAAGGCACTGAGAATTTTTCAGAGGAGAAACTGATTCATGCCCCCCAATGATATGCAAAGTAAAAGAAAAAAATGATTTTTAATAATAAAAATGCAAACATTTTGTGAGATTCAGTTAATACATTAATATATTTCCCCTTTAACCAAAAATAAAGAACATAAAAATGCAAGGACTTAATTCTGGTTCTGATATATACTCATTTCCTTGATATTTGATTAAAAAGGTTTTTAGGTGCTTCTCTAAGCTTTAAAATGCAGTCATATTTATAGCAAGATGTGAGAGGTGGAGACCTGCTCTTAAAGCAAATCTCAGAGGGACTAAGGAATAGCAGTGATGAGTGTTACTTCTGGAATCATCCCTCTTGTGTTTAATTAAAGGACTCTGGGATTAGGAAACTAATTATGCTTCAGTCATATTGTCATAATTTCAAATGTATCATTGTTTGTTGTATGAGCTCCATAGAAGGCATACAAAAAAAAATCTTGAAATTTTGAGGATTACACTTTTGGAGGGTAAAGTCAGAAAGAAGAAAGATGATGGAATAGAAAATCCCCTAGCATCACTGTCCCCATAAAAATAAAACTAGAAGCTATTCAAAGATGGGAGCTCCATTGTAAATACAACAGAACTCAGAGGAGAAGTGCAGAATCAAGGAAAGTTGTGGAGTGTAAAAGAAATGGTCATTTCCGGTTGCACTACCCCCTTTCCCAAGCTAGTATAATGCCACTCACAAAGAATTTCCCTAGACCTATGTCTGCTAAGGAGGAAGGGGGGAAATGGAATTGGATGTTCAGTCTCCCTCCAGCTTAGGAATCTTCATCAGTAATCCACTCTGGTCCTCTCTCATAAAAACCTTTGGGAGTGCTAGGAGAATTGAATCATCTGAGGTGAACTGAGAACAAAGAATAGGACACTGAATGCAGTACCTGATGCATGGAGCCTGGTGGCTACTCAGCACTGTAATTAGTAGAGATGCCACATTTAACAGACCGATTAGTGTCATAGAAATACAGGAAGCACAGTTGGCAGTACAGCAAGAATTCTTAGCCGGATTTTCCACAAACCCAAGGTTCTTTCATGAAGCCTCCCCCAGCCTGGCCCCAAAACAATTAAAAGACTGGGATTAATAACTTTCCGGAATTGGAAACAATGACAGCACAGCAATATAGTCCCAACACAGTATTTAAGCTTCAGTGCACAAAATAAGACTTCCCCACACTAGGAAACAATGACAGAAGAGAAATTTAGTTGCAGTGGTCACTATAAGCCTACCCCAGCAGAAGCAACAACAAGTCAACATTTAAGAGTGAATACTGGCCAGGCACAGTGGCTCACGCCTGTAATCCTAGCACTTTGGGTGGCCAAGGCGGGTGGATCACCTGAGGCCAGGAGTTCGAGACCAGCCTGGCCACCATGGTAAAACCTCATCTCTACTAAAAATACAAAAATTAGCCAGGCGTAGTGCTGTATGCCGGTAATCCCAGCTACTTGGGAGGCTGAGGCAGGAGAATCGCTGGAAGAACCTGGGAGCCAGAGGCTGCAGTAACCCAAGATCACACCACTGCATTCATGGGTAACAGAGCAAGACTCTGTCTTAAAAAAAAAAAAAGAATACTAAGAACTAAAGATCTAAGACCAACAAAGAACACCTGCGAAAACTGGAAGTGTCTCTCTCTTCAAATGCACAGGCATCGACATAAATATGCGAAGATTATAAAAACCAAGGGAAATATGACACCACCAAAAGAAATCAACAGAGGCTCAACAATGGACCCTGAACAATTAAAGATCTATTAAATGTCTGACAATGAATTCAGCATAAGCCTCTTAAAGAAGTTCAAGAAATTACAGGTCAGAACAAAGATCTCTGAGGAAATAAGGAATTTAAAAAAATATTTAAAGAAAGAAAAATGTTAAAAAAAGAAATTATAAGAAAACAGAAAACTAAAAAAAAAGGAAAATAATTCAGGAAGAAAATAAGAAATTGGAAAGAGAAATAAAAACAATGTTTAAAAATATTAATCCCAGAAATAAAGAATACAAAAACTGAACTTAAAAACTCATTAGAAATCTTTTTTTTTTTTTTAAGGAGGTTTTGTTTTTATTATTTCCTTAGCAAACTCAGGAAATAAAAACAAATCTGAAATTACAATGGGATTGCAGCATATGCTCTTTGAATTTATGCAAATTTAATTATATGCCTGAAGGGAGAGAGAGACAATTCAAAGGGTGGAAAGAGGTTAGCTGGTTGAGCCCTGTGGGAGGGTGCCTGGGGGTGAGGACACCTTGAGGATTGTTGCTCTGCTCTACACTCAGTGGATCCTGGTCCCTGCTCTCGACGGGAGGGGCAATTAAGGGGTGTTCAAGGTTCGTCTGGACTCTAGACTTCTTCCTTACATGCTGAATTTTCAATCCAAGCCCTGCTCGAAAGCCAACTGTACTGCGCCTGCAAGTGGAGCTGTGGACTGGACGGCAAGCAGAGGGGAAGCCTTTGAAGATGGGAACCCAGTTTTGACAGGTATATTCTTTTTCTGTTGCTGCCATAATAAACTATCACAGATTTAATCCCTTAAAACAACACAAATTTTGTCTTGCATTTCTGGATGTCCAAAGCCCAAAATGCTTCTTACTGGGCTAGAATCAAGGTGTCGGCAGTACTGCTTTCTTTTTGGAGGTTCTCGGGGAAAATCTACTTTCTTGCTTTTTCCAGGTTTTGGAGGCTGCCCGCATTCTACCTCCAAAGCCAGCAATGGCCACACATCTTTCATCTTTCTCACCCATTGCTATGACGCTGACTCCCTGCCTCCCTCTTCCCAACCTCCTCTATCCTTTTTCTTTTTTTGAGACAGAGTTTCGCTCTTGTTGCCCAGGCTGGACTGCGATGGCACGATCTTGGCTCACTGCAAACTCTGCCCCCCGGGTTCAAGGGATTCTCCTGCCTCAGCCTCACAAGTAGCTGGGATTACAGGTGCCCATCATCACAAACAGCTAATTCTTTGTATTTTTTTAGTAGAGATGGGGTTTCACCATGTTGGCCAGACTGGTCTCAAACTCCTGACCTCAGATGATCCACCCGTCTCGGCCTCCCAAAGTGCTGGGATTACAGGCGTGAGCCACCGTGCCCATAGTTTTGATGACAGAGGAAAGAATCAGTAAGCTTGAAGATAGAACATTTGAAACTAACTTCTCAGAGGAGCTGAAAAAAAAAAAAAAGTAAAGCAGGCCTATGAAAATTATGGGACACAATCAAGTACATTAACTTTTGCATGATTGAAATATCCAAATGGAATGAGAGATAAAAAGGCCTAGAAACTATACTTATTGAAATAATAACTGAAAATTTCTCAGTTCTGGAGAAACACAATAGCATCTAGGTAGAAAAGACCATTGCTCACCAATCAAATTCAATACAAACAGTAATATCTCAGGTTACACTGTAATCAAATTAGGAAAAATCAAAGACAAAGAAATAATATTCAAATCAGCAAGAGAAAAATATCACATTTAATGGAGACTGATATGGTTTGGCTCTGTGTCTCCACCCAAATTTCATCTAAATTTGCCGTCTCCTACTGCTGGAGGTGGGACCTGGTGGGAAGTGATTGGATCATGGGGGTGATTTCTAATGGTTTAGCACCATTCCCCTAGTGTTGCCTTGTGTTAGAGTTCTCACAATATCTGTTATTTAAAAGTGTGTAGCACTTCCCCCTTCGCTCTGTTTTTCTCCTCTTGCCATGTGCTTGTTTTCCCTTTGCCCTTCCACCATGATTGTTAGTTTTCTGAGGCCTTCTCAACCATGCTACCTATACAGCCTAAGGAACGGTGAATCGATTAAACCTCTTTTCTTCATAAATTACTCAATCTCAGTTAGTTCTTTACAGTGATGTGAGAATGGACTAATACATAAAATTGGTACCAGAGAAGTGGGGCATTCCTATAGATACCCAAAAATGTGGAATCGACTTTGTAATTGGGTAACAAGCAGAGGTTGGAACAGTTTGGAGGGCTCAGAAGAAGACAGGAAGAGGAGAAAGTTTGGAACTTCCTAGAGACTTGTTGAGTGGTGGTGAACAAAATACTAATAGTAATATGGAGAGTGAAGTCCAGGCTGAGGTGGTCTCAGATGGAGATGTAGAACTTATTAGGAAGTGGAGTAAAGGTAACTCTTGCTATGCTTTAACAAAGAGACTGGTGGCATTGTGCCCCTGCTCTAGAGAGCTGTGGAACTTTGAATTTGAGAGAGATGAATTCAGGTACCTGGTGGAAGAAATTTCTAAGCAGCAAAGCATTCAAGAATTAGCCTGGCTTCTTCTCTATTTTCAAAGAGATGGTCTGAAATTGGAATTTATATTTAAAAGGAAAGCAGAGCATGAAAGTTTGAAAAATTTGCAGCCTGAACATGTGGTAGAAAAGAAAAACCCATTTTATAGGGAGGAATTCAAGGCTGCAGAAGTTTGCATAAATAAAGAGGAGCTACATGTTAATAGCCAAGACAGTGGGGAAAATGCCTCCAAGAAATTTCAGAGACCTTTATTACAGCCACTCCCATCATAGGCTCAGAGGGCAAATAGGAAAAAATGATGTCGGGGGCCAGACCCAGGTCTGCAGTGCTCTGTGTAGCCTCAGAACATGATGACCTGCGTCCTAGCCACTCCAACTCCAGTCAGGACTAAAAAGTGCCAAGGTACAGCTTGGGCCATTGCTTCAGAGGGTGCAAGCCCCAAGCTTTGGCAAGTTCCACATAGTGTCTGGCCTGTGGGTGTGCAGAAGACATGAATTAAGGCTTGGGAGCTTTTGCCTAAGTTTTAGAGGTTGTATGCAAATGCCTGGATATCCAGGCAGAAGTCTGCTGCAGGGGCAGAATCCTCACAGAGAGCCTCTACTAGTGCAATGCAGAAGGAAAATGTGGGGTTGGAGCCCCCACACCGAGTTCCCACTGGGTCCTGCGTAATGGATCTGTAAGAAAAGGGACACTATCTTTCAGAAACCAGAATGGTAGCTCCACTCACAGCTTGTGCCATGCATCTGGAAAAGCCACAAGCACTCAAAATCAGCCTGTGAAAGCAGCCAACAGGGCTGCACCCTGCAGAGCCATGAGGGTGGAGTTGCCCCAGGCCTTGAGAGAGCAACCCTTGCATTAGTGTGGCCTGGATGTGAAACATGGAGTCAAAGGAGATTATTTTGGAGCTTTAAGATTTAATGACTGCCCTTCTGGATTTTGGACTTGCATGGCATATGTAGCTCCTTTATTTTGGCCAATTTCTTCCTTTTGGAACAGAAGCATTTATCCACTGCCTGTAACTCCCTTGTATCTTAGAAGTAAATAACTTGTTTTTAGTTTTACAGGCTTACCTGTGGACCTTGTCTCAGATGAGATTTTGGACATTTGGACATTTGGACATGAGGAATTGGACATTTAAGTTTGTGCTGGAATGAGTTAAAACTTTGGGGAACTATTGGGAAGACATGATTGCGTTTTGAAATGTGAGAAGAACATGAAATTTGGGAGGGACCGGGACAGAATGATATGGTTTGACTCTGTGTTCCCACCTAAGCCTTATATTGAATTGTAATCCCCCAGTTTTGGAGGTGGGGCCTGGTGGGAGGTGAATGGATCATCGGGGTGTTTTCTAATAGTTTAATACCATTCCCCTAGTGCTATCTTATGATAGAGTTCTCATGAGATCTGTTTGTTTAAAAGTGTGTAGCACTTTCCCCTTTACCCTCTCTCCTCTGTCGCCATGTGAAGATGTGCTTGCTTCCCCTTCACCTTCCATCATGATTGTAAGTTTCCTGAAGCCTCCCAGCCATGCCTCCTGTACAGCCTGTGGAACTGTGTGTCAATTAAACCTCTTCACTTTATAAACTACTCAGGCTAAGGTAATTTTGTTTAGCAATGTGAGAACAGAGTAATACAGAGCTTGAATATGGCTTTCAGCAGATTTCTCACAGAAGCTAGCAGGTCAAGAGGAAATGGTATGCTATACTCAAGATGATAAGAGAAAAAATCTTTCAAGGAAGAATATTATGTGCATTAAAGTTATTCTTCGAACATGAAGGTGAAATAAAGATTTTTTTTTCGCAGAAAAACAAAAGCTGAGGAAATTCATCAACACCAGACCTGTTTTTCAAGAAATGCTAAAGAGAGTTCTTCAGTCTGAAAGAAATGGGTACTAACATGTAACAGGAAAACATTGGAATGTATAAAATTCCCTCGTAAAAGAACATTCAAAATCAGAATACTGTCATACTATAATTGTGGTAAATAAACCACTTGTATCATAAGTATGAAGAATAAAATACAAAACTATTAAAACCATCAATAACTACAGTTTAGAAGTAGGCAATATAAAAACATGTACATTGAAACACCAAAAGTCAAAATGTGTGTAGGGCATATTAAAAGTGTAGAGTTGGTTTTTGATGCTTTTATTTGCAATCAAAATTAAGTCATTATCTGTTCAAAACGAACTGTTATACTATAGATTTTTTTTGTAAACCTCACGGTACCCACAAAACAAAAACCTATGACAGATACACAAAAACATAGCATGGAATCAAAACATACTTCTAAAGAAAATTACTTAACTACAGAGTAATACAGTAAGATAGAACACAAGAAATAAAGGATTTAGAAAACAACAAGCGAAGAAATAACAAAATGGCAGTAGTAAACTCTTACCTAACAATAATACTCTTCAATGTTAATAGACAAAATTCTACAATTAAAAGACGCTGAGTGACTGCTCAATGGAAAAAAAAGTAAAACAAAAGAAAAACAAACAAACAAATATCAATACTCAAGTATGTGCTGTCTTCAAGAAATTTACCTATAAAGACAGGCATATACTAGAGTAGCAAGTTAGATAAAAAATAAGATCCATCCATCTGCAATTTTCAAGAGATCTATCTCACATAGGCTCAAAGTAAAAGGATGAAAAATAATCTACTAGACAAATGAAAAATAAAAGACAGCAGGGGTTGCTATTGTTATGTCAGATAAAAGAAGCTGTAAACCAAAAACTGGAAAAAATGACAAAAAGGGCACTGCCTAATGACATAGGGTTCAATTAAACAAGAAGACTTAACTATCCTACACATATACACACCCCACATTGGAGCACCCAAATTCATAAAACAAGTACTTCTAGACTGACAAAAAGACCTAAAAAGCCACACAATAGCAGTAGGGGAATTCAACACCCCAATTACAGCCTTAGGTCATCAAGGTCTGAAAACTAATAAATTCTGGACTTAAATTTGACACTTGATTAATTGGACCTAATAGACATCTGCGGAGTACTCCACCCATAACCACAGAATATACGTTCTTGTCCTCTGCACCTGGAACATACTGGAAGGTTGATCACATACTAGGCCATAAAGCCAGTGTCAATCAATTAAGAAATAAAATCATGTCAAACTCCCTCTTGGAGAACACTGGAATAAAAATAAAAATCAATACCAAGATCTCTCAAAACCACAAAATTATACGGGAATTAAACAATTTGCTACTGAATGACTTTTGGGCAAACAACTAAACCAGAAATTAACAAAATATATATTTGAAATAAATAAAAACAGAGACACAACTTACCGAAATCTCTGGGATGCAGCAAAATCAGTGTTAAAAGGAAAGTGTACAGCGCTAAACACTTCCCTCAAAAAGTTAGAAAGTTCTCAAATTAATGATCTAACATCTCACCTAGAGGAACTATAAAACAACAAACTAACTCCAAAGCCAGTAAAAGAAAATAAATAACTAAATCAGAGTAAAACTGAATGAAACTGAGACCCCAAAATACATCCAAAAACCAATAAAACCAAAAGTTTATTTGAAAGGATACACAAAATGGATAGACTGCTAGCTAGATTAACAAAGAAAATAAGAAAGAAGATCCAAATCAGCACGATCAGAAATGACAAAGGTGACATTACAATCAATTCCTCAGACATATAAAAGACTATCATAGACTACTATACAAAAATCTAATCAAAATGTTTTAAAGACAAATGTATGACCTGAAACTATAAATCTACTAGAAGAAAACTCTGGGAAAATACTTTTAGACATTGGTCTAGGTAAAGAGTTTTTGGATAAGGCCTCTAAAGCACAGGCAACAAAACCAAATATAGATAAACAGGATTTCATCAAACAAAAGAAATCTCTGCACAGCAAAAGAAGTAATCTATAGAGTGAAAAGACAACCTACACAATGGGAGAAAATACTTACAAATCATTCATCTGACAAGGGACTAATATTCAGGTTACATAGGAAATTTGAACAACTCAATTTCAAAATAAATAAATTTTTAAAAATCTGATTGAAATGTGCAAATGATTATAGATATCTCTTTTTCATCTTTTTTCTTTTTTGTTTTATTTTAATAATTTTTTCTATTTTTAGTTTCAGGGGTATATGTGCAAGTTTGTTACATAGGTAAATTGAATGTCACTGATATTTGGTATACAAATGATCCCATCACCCAGGTAGTGAGCATAGTACCCAACAGTTTTCCTTTAAAAAAAAAAAACTTTTATTTTAGTTTTGGGGATACATGTGAAGGTTTGTTACATAGGTGAACATGTGTGATGGGAGTTTGTTGCACAGATTATTTCATCACCAGAGTATTAAGCCTTGTACCCATAATTATCTTTTCTGCTCCTATCCCTCCTCCCACCCTCCCCCCTCAAGAAGACCCCAGTGTCTGTTGTTTCCTTCTTTGTGTTTGTAAGTTCTAATCATTTAGCTCCCACTTATAAATAAGAACATACGGTACTTGGTTTTCTGCTTCAGCATTAGTTTGTTAAAGATAATAGCCTCCAGATCCATCCATGTTCCTGCAAAAGACACGATCTTCTTCTTCTTTATGGCTATGTAGTATTACATGGTGTGTATGCACCACATTTTCTTTATCCAAACTGTCATTGATGGGCATTTAAGTTGATTCCATGCCTTTGCTATTGTGAATAGTACCAAAATGAACAGTCACATGAATGTATCTTTATGGTAGAATGATTTATAATTCTGTGGGTATATACCTAGTAATGGGATTGTTGGATCAAATGGTAGTTCTGCTTTTAGCTCTTTGAGGAATTGCCATACTGCTTTCCACAGTGGCTGAACGAGTTTACACTCCCACTAACAGTATAAAAATGTTCCTTTTTTTTTGCAACCTCACCAGCATCTGTTATTTTTTTACTTTTTAATAATAGTCATTCTGACTGGTGTAAGATGGCATCTCATTGTGGTTTTGATTTGCATTTCTCTAATAATCAGTGATATTGACCTTTTTTCATATAATTGTTGGCTGCATGTATGTCTTCTTTTGAGAAGTGTTTATGTTCTTTGCCCACTTTTATTATGTATTTTATTTATTTATTTATTTATTTATTTATTTATGAGACAGAATCTCACTCTGTCGCCCAGGCTGGAGTGCAGTGGTGCAATCTCGGCTCACTGCAACCTCTAC
Source organism: Homo sapiens (assembly GCF_000001405.40). NCBI lineage: Eukaryota > Metazoa > Chordata > Mammalia > Primates > Hominidae > Homo > Homo sapiens. The sequence goes on from NC_000011.10 coordinate 56,565,897, forward strand.
CTCCTGAGTTCAAGTGATTCTCCAGCCTCAGCCTCTAGAGTAGCTGGGATTACAGGCACGCACCACCATGCCCAGTTATTTTTTGTATTTTTAGTAGAAACAGGGTTTTGCCATGTTGGCCAGGCTGGTCTTGAACTCCTGACCTCAGATAATCCACCTGCCTCTGCCTCCCAAAGTGCTGGGATTACTGGCATGAGCCACTGTTGCCAGCATCTTAGCCCACTTTTAAATGTGTTGTTTGCTTTTCTCTTGTAAATTTAAGTTTCTTAAACATGCTGAATATTAGACCTTTGTCAGATACATAGTTTGGAAATATTTTCTTCTATTCCATAGGCTGTCTTTTTACTCTGTTAACAGTTTGTTTTGCTGTGAAGAAGCTCTTAAGTTTAATTAGATCCTACTTGTCAATTTTTGCTTTTTTCTTTTTGCAATTGCTTTTTGTGTCTTTGTCATGAAATCATTGCCCATTTCTTTTTCTAGGATGATACTGCCGACATTTTCTCCTAGGGTTTTCACAGTTTGGGGTTTTGCATTTAAGTCTCTAATCCATCTTGAGTTGATTGTTGTGTGTGGTATAGGGAAGGGGGTCCAGCTTCAATCTTCCGCATATGGCTAGCCAGTTATCCCAGCACCATTTATTAAATAGGGAGTCCTTTTCCCATTGCCTGTTTTTGTCAGCTTTGTTGAAGATCAGATGGTCATAGATGTGTGGTCTTATTTCTGGGCTCTCTATTCTGTTCCATTGGTCTGATCATTTTTCAGTCTGCACTCCCCAGCTCTTCCCCCTCTATTAACCCCCAGTGTTGCTTGTTCTCCTTTATTTTTCATGTGTATTCAATGTTTCTCTCATACCTTTAATAAGAACATGGGCACATTTGGTTTTCTGTTCCTACATTAATTCACTTAGGATAATGGCCTTCAGCTGCATCTATGTTGCTGCAAAAGACATGATTTCATTTTCATGGCTTCATAGTATTCAATAGTGTGTATGTATCATATTTTCTTTATCCCGTTCATCATTGATGGTTATCTACGTTGATTCCATGTCTTTGCTACAGTGTATAGTGCTGCAATGATTGCACAAGTGCATGTGGTTTTGGTAAAATTATTTACTTTCCTTTGGGTTTATACCCAGTAATAGGATTGCTGGGTCAAATGGTACTTGTGTTTTAAGTTCTTTGAGAAATTTCCAAACTGCTTCCACAGTGGATGAACTAATTTACATTCCCACCAAAAGTGTATAAGGATTCCATTTTCTCCACAACCTCACCAATGTCTGTTATTTATTTCACTTTTTAATAATAGCCATTCTGACCGGTGTGAGATGTTATCTCATTGTAGTTGTGATATACATTTCTCTGATGATTAATGATACTGTATTTTTAATATATTTTTTGGCCACATGTATGCTTCATTTTGAGAAGTGTCTGTTTATGTCTTTTGCCTATTTTTTATTATACTTTAAGATCTGGGGTACATGTGCAGAACGTGCAGGTTTGTTACACAGGTATACACATGCCATGGTGGCTTGCTGCACCCATCAATCCGTTATCTACATTAGGTATTTCTCCTAATGGTATCCCTTACCTAGCCTCCCACCCCACAAAAGGCCCCAGTGTGTGATGTTCCCCTCCCTGTGTCCATGTGTTTTAATGGTTTTAGGGGGAGGTTTCTTGCCTGTTGAATTGTTTATGTTTCTTATATATTCTGGATATTAGATTTTTGTTGGATTTATCATTTTTGAACATTTTCTTTCATTCTTTAGATTGCTTACTCTGTTAATTTATTTTCTATGCAGTAGCTCTTTAGTTTAATTACATCCCATTTTTCAATTTTTATTTTTATTGCAATTGCTTCTGGAGACTTATTCATAAATTTTTTGCTGAGGCCAATGTCCGGAGTGGTATTTCCTCAGTTTTCTTCCAGGATTTTTATAGCTTTAGGCCTTATATTTAAGTCTTTAATCCATCTTGAGTTAATTTTTATATGTGGTGACAGGTATGGGTCCAGTTTCACTCTTCTGCACATGGCTAAATAGTTATCCTGGCTCCATTTATTGAATAGGTAGTTCTTTCCCTATTGTTTATTACTATCAACTTATTAAAGATCAGACAGTTGTAGATGTCTGACTTTATTTCTGGGTTCACTGTTTCATTTTGTCTATGGGTCTTTCTTTGTACCAGTACCATGCTTTTTTGGTTACTGTAGCCTTGTAGTATAGTTCGAAGTTGGGTTATTTGATGCTGCCAGTATTGTTCTTTTTGCTTAGGATTGCTTTGACTATTCAGTCTCTTTTTTGGCTCCATATAAATTTTAGGCAAGTTTTCTCAAATTCTATGTAAATAGTGTCATTAGCTTGATGGCAATAGTGTTGAATCTGTAGATTGCTTTAGGCAATATAGCTGTTTTAGCATTCTGATTCTTCTAATTCATAAACATGGGATGATTTTCCATTTGTTATATCATCTATGATTTCTTCCAGTAGTGTTTTGTAGTTCTCCTTGTAGAGATCTTTCACCTCCTTGGTTTGTTGTTTTCCTAGGTGTTTTATTTTTGTGCGTGTGGCTATTGTAAATGGGATTACATTCTTGATTTAGCTCTCAGCTTGAATGTTATGGGAGTATAGAGATGCTAATATTTTTATACATTGATTTTGTATCCTGAAACTTTAATAAAGTTGTTTATCAGATCTAGGAGCTTTTTGGTGTAGTCTTTAGGGTTTTCTAGGTATAAAATCATATTATCAGTGAAGAGAGATAGCTTGACTTCTTTTCCTATTTGGATGCCTTATATTTCTTTCTCTGGCTTTATTGCTCTGGCTAGAACTTGCAGTACTATGTGAAATAGGAATGATGAGAGAGGACATCTTTGTCTTGTTCCATTTATTAGGTGGAATGCTTTCAGCTTTTTCCCATTTAGTATGATGTTGGCTGTGGGTTTGCCATAGATGGCTCTTATTATTTTGAGGTATGTCTCTTCAATGCCTAGTTTGTTGAGTATTTTTTTATTATTATTATTATGAAGAGATGTTGGATTTTATCAAAAGCTTCAAAAAGAAGATATTCAAATTGTCAGCAGGTATATGAAAAAAAGGTTTAATTCACTAATCATAAATGAAATGCAAATCAAGACCATAATGAAGTATAACCTCAACCAATTTGTAATGATTGTCATTAAAAAGACAAAAAAATGAACAGAGGTTTGCAAGGATACACAGAAAAAGGAATGCTCGTACATTATTGGCAAAAATGTAAATTAGTATAGCCACTATATAACTCAATATAGCTGTTGCTCAAAAAAAATTAAAAACTACTTTATTGATAATGTTTTTTGCTGGAGGAGATAGATGACAAATACACCCACAAACAAATATATGGCAGGTGATGATAAGTACTGTGAAAACAAACAAACAAACAAATTGGGGCATAGGAGTAGAGGTTAAATAATTTGCCTGAGATTTCATAGGGAGTAAGAGGTGGAACCAGGACTTGATGAATTTGAAAGCTGACTCTAGTCACATGACCTCTGACTGCTGCCTGTGCTCTGAGGTGGGTGAGTATGCTGGCTAGGATCCAAAATCACTCAGGGCTGCTGACTGGGCTCCATAATCAGGTAAGACCATTCACTGTGGTATGTATTCGAGTGGGGCTGCTGGCTGTGGTCCACAGATTGATGGGGTCACTGCCTTTGCTCCAAATTTAGGTGAGATCACTGACCAGATCTCTTGGCCAGATAGGGCCACTGGCTATTTCCTGCAGTTTTTTGGGGCTGCAAGCTGATCCATAATTGGGAAGTTTTACTGGATGTGCTCTGTAGTTTGGAGAGATAATTGACCAGACTCCGTCGTCAGATGGGACTGCAGGCTATGCCCAGCGGTTGAGTGGGGTTGCTGGCTTGGATCTCTACCTGAGTGGGGTGGGCTGCAAGTTGTGCTTTATGGTTGGGTGGTGCTCTAGGCTGTGCTCTGCAGCTGGTCCAGCTTACTGACTGGTACCACAGCCAGACAGAACTGTTCAACATGCCTCCTGACCGAAAGGGCCTGCCAACTCAGCTCCACATGTGAGCAATGCTAGTGGCTGGGCTCTCTGGTCACATAAAGCTGCCAGCTAGAACATGATGCCACCACCAAGATCGGGTGCTGGTTGCCGTAAGCTACACCCCTTAACTTTGTTATGAGCTGACTGGGGTGGCCAAGCTTTGCCAAGTCTTCCGTTATTACCCACAAGGTTAGACAGAATGGGCCTCTTGGGAAGTTCTCTGGAACATAGGGAAGCTGGATGTCTGCCGTGGGCTCTCTTTTCTTCACTGGGGAAACCACAGGCCCAGGGAATCTCTTTCAGTGTGACACTGTGTTTGGCTGGGAAAGAAGCAAGTGAAACTGCTCCTCTTAACAATTCTAATGTGGTTTTTTCCAGTTTTTATGCTCCAAGAGTGTGCCCCACCTCACCCATGGGTTACGGAATTTTCACATGGGCATTTTTCTCTGAGAAGTTGTTCATTGGTCATTCTGTGCTGGAAACCAGAATTGGGGACCTCTTCTTTTTCTTACCTTGCTTTTTCCTTGCTTTTCCTTACTTTCATATTTAAATTCCAATATTAATAAATAAGTATCCTGTAATTATACATCCTGAGATCTGGACTAAACTGAAAATACACAGTTTTTGTTGCCTTATTTTCTCACAATAGCAATGACTATTTAAATATGGACATAGCTATTAATAACAAGTTTTATTTCCCCTTATCCCTAATATTTTACAAGATATCACACTGTATACAGCATAGGATATATCTTTGCACATAATATATTACATAAAATGAATTACCTTTTTCTTAACTAGGAACATCCTCACTTTAATGGCTGTATAACTTTCTATTACAAAAAACGTTTCACCTGTACTTTACACTTTCCTTCATGATCAAGGCTAATGACATTCTACTTAGTTAGAGACAGCTTCTATCCCATCTGGTGGATGCCTGTATTTTACCAGTTATTAAATGCAGGCAGTTCTCACTTTGTGATTTTGTAGGAACTAAGAACCACAAAAACTAAGACACGTTTCCAGTATGGAAAGGTTTCTGTTACATGGTACCATGCCAAGCAGGAACTATTTGTATTTAATACATCATGTGTTTACTTTGTCTTGATTATAAAATAAAAACAACACCATGAAACTCTTCACACAAGTTTCTTATGCCTTCAGTAGATTCTTAAAATTGAAATAGCTGAATAAAAGCATAAGAAAATTTTGTCTCCTTAATATGATAATAATATTAGGTTGGTAAGAAAAAAAATAAGTGCTGTTACTTTTAATGGCAAAAAAACAAGATTACTTTTGTACCAACCTATTAAATATTAAATTTATTTTCAGAAAAACTTTATACCCTTAATCAATCAATGTATGAAAGTGCCAATCTATATCAGCTCTTTTAAATGTAGATATATCAAACAATATCTTACATCATATTTTTGGTTGCTAATATTTTGTGTGTTAATTTTAGCATTTTTGTATTTTAATCAATTTTTTACTTATAGTCTTTGATATTTATATATTGATTCTTTAGTGCTTCAAATTATTTTTATTAATTTCTTGTATTTCAATAATTTTACCAATTTATCTTGTTTGTGGCAAATACATTGCCAAATTGTAGGGTGCCTCTTAATTTTAAATAGTTTTATCTTCAAATTAAAGCAATTTGCTTACTCTTTTTACTACAAATTTTTCCCACTGTTATGAAGCACAGATATATTATTCTCTGATTATTTAAATTTAAATATTTATTGTCTTTCTGATTAATCCTTTTTTGTTCAGTGTTTGAAGTGACTCATAGTGGAAAAACATATGTGGCCCTCTCAGTTCTTTTGGGGGTAATTGCTGGGAAAAAAACCTCTTTGTAAGAAAAAGAGACTGTATTTAGAGATATTTGTTGAAAAAAAATGTTACATGATGATTTCACCATACACTGGTATGGTGAAAACATAAGTATTTGTATAACAGTGTTAATAAATCCATAGAATTAATATACCAAGGTTAGGTGTTTTCTCCTCACTTACCAGACACCAGCATCTTCCTGACTTTCTGGAAAACAAACAACTCATTCAAAATATTTCATCCTTAAGCAGTTCTCCCTATGGCCACCATAGACAGTAAAATAATTTTCCTTATTTTTTAATTGCTTTATAATGTATAAGTATTGTATGTACAACTACATTCAAAATTATACAACTATACATACAGTTTCTAAATTGAATCATAATATTATAATTTCTGAGTTAAAAATTTGGATAGCTAAAAGTATCTGATTTTCAATCTCCTAAGAGAAAATTGAAGACAAAAATATCTTCACCAGAAATTAAAATATATGTTCAATTTAATGATAAGAATTTAGTTTAAAATATATTTATAATTCAGACAAAAAAAACAGTGGAAATGGGCAGAAATAGATTGACTTAAGGTATAATAAAGGTGACATCACAAATCAGTGGGAAAGCAGTGCTTAATAACACTTGGAGGAAGTTGGTTAAAAATGTGAGGGCACAAAAGTAATTTACAACATTAAAACATGCAACAAAATTATATCCAGGATAATTCATGATATTCCCATAAAATATTGCAATGAAAGCCAATAACCCCATATAAGTGCTTGTTTATTCAATTGTGGCATAAGAAAAAGTTACAAAACAACAATAAACAAAATATAATTTTTCTCCATAAAAATACAAATATTCTTCATGTAAGACACCATCATAACATGAAAGAAAATTATTATATGTAGCCTTTATTTGTTAAATATATTCTTCAATTTCTAATCTGTGCAAATTAAAACAGAGTTTGTTTCTAAAACTTCCTTTGAGAGATCAAAGTAGCATATAACCATAAACAAGAGCTCCTACTGCTGATAGAGTTATAGTAAAATGATTGTTTTCAAACATTAGTGGTACAGGTTTGTTACAAGCTTTCTGGATAAAAATTTATCCATAGAAATGTTTAGCAAGACCTTTAAAAATGTTCAAAACATTTAATTCAGCAATTACACTTCTGGGAACATAACAAAAGGAACAATTAGAGAGAGACGTACAGATACGTCGGTCATCAAAATACTAAGATACATTGATATGATGGAATCATGATTTGCAAGATAATCAAATGGAATAAAACACATGTGAATGCTGAGAGCAACTCTTTTCAGGTAGTTGATTACAAGTAAGCATTGCTTCTATTTCTTATGTATGCCAATATGGTTCATTGGTTTTCTACATTTGACATGTATTAATATTGTATTAGGATCACACAAGCTAATTAAAATATGACATTAAAAATGTTCATAAAATATTTAATCTATGTAAAGGTGCATACATTATAGTATCAAATGAAAATCTGTATTCATATTATTATATGGTGAGTAACTTTATATTTGTTTTGTGCATTATAGTAACATGTAGTCATATACATTTATTGAGAAGAAATATAACAAAATATAAACAAAACTTATTCCTTGTCATAGCAGGTCCTTAATAAATTTTATGTTTTTATATTTGTCTGTACCTGGAAATTAATTAATATAAATATGTGTGCTTTTATAATTGGGAAAATATATTAATAAAATGCAGCCTAAGAAGCATAAAGGTTTCCCATATATCAAAATTTTCTCCCTTCACATGGATATTAAGACAATTTTAATTATCATGCATATAAATGATCACATTAGCCTGACTGTCAGGGAAAATTCACATTAGCTGTTGTTAGGATACATCTCACTATCACATAATAACCACTATTTAATCTATAGTAACACTCTTATTAATTCATAGTCTCCAATATTCCCCCCAGCATTTGAAGTGTGTTGAAGAATGGCTTAATAACCACTTCAGTATGAATTAGAAAGAGAGAAAATTTAAAACCAAGAAATCTGCTTTTGTGCTACTGAGTGGCCAAATGACGTTAGGCAAGTCATTTCATCTCTCTGTGTCTAAGACTCCAAATATTGTAAATGAAGATAATAATTCTCTCACTACTTCATTTTCATTTAAGAAAAGAAAAAACAGTAATCCTAAAATTAGCAATACACTATGATTACATCAATTGTCACTATTTCTATTCATGTCCATTTATGTTCTATTCTATCTCCAAAGAATTTCTGAGATAACTTTTACCCAAGGGCTTGCACAATTAAAAAATTAAATTACAAATAGAATAAATAAATACATATTTTAAAAAAAAGAGATTACAAACAGGTCAAGCATTTGGGTTACAAAGGTGTCAAAGTTTAAGTTTGGTTGCTGCAAGCCACAGCAATTCTCATAACTAGAAAATAAAAGGAAGTATACAGTTATTTAGGCAAAATATAGAGTGTGTTTGTACCAATTCTAAAATACAGTTTTCAAATAGAGTATCAGACCACTCTACTTGCTAGAAATTGAACACAATGCTTTGCCTAACCAAAAGAGGAAGATAAAAGAATAATATAAAGAGCTATCCCACAGATTAAATGATGTTGTCATAAGATAAAGAAATATCCCACAGATGAAATGATGCTGGGCCTCTAAAAGGAAGTAAGGACGCTGTGTCACTCAGTTCCCAGCTCTTCTGCTTCACTCTTGTCTCTACAGATCACCTGCTTCTGTTGTGCCACTGCCATTGCCAAAACCAGGCAAATACACAAATAGTGCTAAAAGGTAAATATTAAATTGTTGCTGCCCAAAATTGCCTTCTTTCTTTTTCAGTTACTGTTTCTAAAAGCAGATTTGGATAGAACCAGACTTATTCAACCAACTGACACTTAAGAATATAACCCAATTTTACAAAAACTGTTAGTCATCTGTTTAATATTCTGGAAAACCACTTGAACATTTTATAGTAGATACAGTAGTTGATATCATATAAGCATTTTCTGTAGCATTTTCTGTATAGTGTTAGTTAAAAGCAGAGTGCAAAATATTAAAATGTCAAACATAAGAGGCAATTTAATAGGGCTAAATATGTATGTATTAATATGCAGTCATCTGGTTGACTAAATAATACATTGATTAATGTGTATCTTTATTTAGCCTCTTTGTGATTGATTTTCCCTGTAGTAGCTTTGAGAACTAGAATACCCTAATGTAAAAAAATAATGTGCCACAGACAGTTGTGTGAAGCAAAATAAACACTATTTCCTCCAAAAAGATACGTACGCCCCTATTAATTTTTATACTGTTTCAGGGTGTTAAAGAAGCAGGAGTCTAGGAGATCCAGGGTGACAACATTTTAAAATCAACTCTGTCTTGAGGTTAACAAGGCACAGTCCTGGCCGGTCATGACCCATGTTCATAAGATGCTTATAGTTTAGGAAACAGCCTAAAAATACCTACAAGAACACGCTAATAATGCAGCAAGAGAACCTAGGTGTCCCAATTCTCATAAGAGTATATGCTTTTATCATGATAATAATAGTTATGCACACACTAAAATATCAAGGATCGTTTTCTTTAAATCAACAGAATGATAAATTTTGTCATGCCGTCAGCCTACCCACATGTAGCCACAACTTACTTTAGTCTGTACGTAGATAAAAGACCATTAAAAAAACTTAAAGAGGGTGCATTCCTCCACTTGCTTTCTGGGAACACCTTACTCTGTAATGCAATAGCCTTTAATAAATGATCTCTTTGGAGTAGCATTTAATGAACTATCTCTTCTCACTGCACTTTGCAGCTTATCTTGAAATTTTTCCTCTGTAGATCCAAGAACCCCCTGCTGGGATCTGGATCAAGACCCCTTTTTCCACTAACAAAGTCATTTATGCATATGCAAATATCAATTGATAAACCCTATTGATTCCTACTAAATTATTCCTAAGTCAGAGGTACTTCACTGGAAAACATACGTGGAATGCAATTGAAGTATTTTGATGATAGAAATGGATCCATGCACTTGAAAACTCAAAAAAAAAAAAGGGTGTTGAGAGTTGATTTTCAGAATTGAGGACCATAACTGGTATTACCACATGAACCAATAAGAAGCTTCTCACGATGTTTACAGTGTGGGTTTTGAGAATACTTACAGAAAATTTAACTTATAGGTGATTCATATATTTACATTTTTTGCACAGTGATTACAATAAGTTCACAGGTTTCAGAACTATTGTTCAAGACACCACATTGAAGTAGAAACAATTTTTTTCTTTTTTCGTTTTCTTTTTATTTATTTATTTATTTATTTTTTTGGAGATGGAGTTTCGCTCTTGTCGCCCAAGTGGAGTAAGTACAATGGCGTGATCTTGACTCACTGCAACCTCCGCCTCCCAGGTTCAAGCTATTCTCCAGCCTCAGCCTCCTGAGTAGCTGGGATTACAGGCATGTGCCACCACAACCAGCTAATTTTGTAATTTTAGGAGAGACGGGGTTTCACCATGTTGGCCAAGCTGGTCTCAAACTCCTGACCTCAGGTGATCCACCTATCTCTGGCTCCCAAAGTGCTGGGATTACAGATGTGAGCCACCATGCCCGGCATCATTTTTTTAAAAATGTAAAATTAGCCACCCTATCTGGAGCCTCACTATGGCTCTATGGATAGTAATATTCAAAGGGGTTGGATTTTCAGAGTTTCTCTCAGGCTAAGTTAGTTAAAAGTTTACCCCCAAGTAAGTAAACCCAGTATTTTCATACAGAATTATTAGAAACCAAACAATTTATATTCATAGAATCTCTGACAAATAAAACATTATTAATTTCAACATTAAGCTTTTTATTTTTAAAAACTAAATCTTCAAAGTGTTAATTTTGAGAAGAAACTAAAGTGGTTACTAAGAGCCCATACTGTTAAATAATAACTACACTAGGTTTTTCCATTTCAGTTTGTTACCCCACAGGCACTTAGGGATTACAAATAAACACAGGCCTAAACTGCAATTTTACAAAAGGATTTTCCCCTAATCATTTGTTGTATGGCAAGGATTACATCTCTGTTCCGTAGGCTATAGATCAATGGGTTCAGCATTGGGCTCAAAAAAGTATAAAAGACTGCAATTATTTTGGACTCCTCTACAGACTTCTCTGATGGAGGCCTTACGTACATGCAGAAGAGGGTTCCATAAAACAAAGTGACTATTGTCAGGTGGGAAGCACACGTAGAAAAGGCTTTGTGCCTGCCTTCAGCAGAACGGATCCTGAAGATCGCTGCAAAAATGAAAAGATAGGACAGAAGAATGATGAAGAGAGAGCTTGAGAGAGTAAAGCCTGCAACTACAAACATTGCCATCTTTTTGACACGGGTGTCAGAGCAGGCCAGCATGATAAGAGGAGGATCAGCGCAGTAGAAATGATTGATTTCAAGGGAGCCACAGAAGGATAAGTGAAAGGTCAGCAGTGTCTGAGAGAGCCCATTAAGGAAGCCATACATGTAAGGCACAGTGACCAGAGAGATGCAAATGTTCTTGGACATCCTGGAACTGTAATGTAAAGGGCTGCAAATGGCTACATAGCGATCCAATGCCATTGAAGCAAGGAAGTAAAACTCAGTGATCACTAGGGCGATGAAGAGAAGACACTGTGTGAAGCATCCAGCGTAGGAGATGGTCTTCTGTTCTGAGAGGAAATTGTGCAGCATATTTGGAGTAACATTGGAAGAATAGCAAATGTCTACAAAGGAGAGGTGACCAAGGAAGAAATACATGGGTGTTTGCAGTTGGGAATTGGTCCTGATCAGCAGGATCATGCACAGGTTGCCTGCCAGTGTGATTAGGTAGATCGCCAGGAACACCCCAAACAGGATCTTCTCTAGCACTGGGTCGTCTGTCAGTCCTAAGAGAATGAATTCTGTCACTATGGTGTGGTTTGGGGACAACATCTTCTTATTTCTTGAAAACTGAAAGTGACAAAGAATGTGAGGATTCTCTCTGATCCAGATTTGGCATTTGTTTCATCCATTTATCATTCACTCATTCATCTATTCATCTAGGCACCAATTACTTTTTTCAATAAACACATCAGAATTTCTGCACAACGTTTTCTCTTTATATGTGTGTGTTTTCTGTCTCTTTTTGTATCTCAAACCCACACACACACAGGCACATTCTCTATTTCTGTCTCTTATATATATACATTTATAAATTTATACATTAATGCATTTATACTTGTCTTCTTGGTGAATTCTACATTTGGTAATTATTTTCAAGGTTTGTGAGGGAACAAAAAAAACAAAGAAATGAATATCAGATATTAATATTAGCATCATTTAAATAAATAAATGTAGGAAGTCCAATCTTCAGTTTCCCTCCATGTCTGATATCTTATTATTTCAGATACAAAACAGAAGAAAAAAATTAAGGTAGCATTTTCACTTAAAACCTATGACTGTCGGCCGGGCGCGGTGGCTCACGCCTGTAATCCTAGCACTTTGGGAGGCCGAGGCGGGCAGATCACGAGGTCAGGAGATCAAGACCATCCTGGCTAACACTGTGAAACCCCATCTCCACTCAAAATACAAAAAAGTAGCCAGGCGTAGTGGCGGGCGCCTGTAGTCCAAGCTACCGGGAGGCTGAGGCAGGAGAATGGCGTGAACCCGGGAGGCGGAGCTTGCAGTGAGCCGAGATCACACCAGGGCACTCCAGTCTGGGCGACAGAGCGAGACTCCGTCTCAAACAAACAAACAAACAAACAAACAGAAACCTATGATTGTCAGTGAACATTAAATTAGTTAAACTTAGTGCTTGATATATGGCTAAGAATATACAAAACCAAGAACTGTTTTTTCACTTTGAAATTTTACCTGCCTGTTTATTCATGTACACTGACTGCATAGCTTGATTTTTTTGTGTGTATTACAATTCCTGGGGTTATTGGAGTGAACAAATTTTCCAGTTTCATGGAGCTCACATTATAATATGAGAAATAATGGTTAAACCCACAGAGAAAGATACATATTATAATTTCAAGTAAAAGCTGGGTCTGTGAAGAACAATGAATGTGAGATTCTTTTAGATGACTATTCAAAGTAGCCTTTTCTGAGAATGCAACATTTGAACAGTAAATAAACAATTATAGCACCTGAAGGAAGAGAGTGAAGTTTTTTTGTCTCCATTTATATGCCACTAAACTACTTATTAAAATATTGTTAGAGAATCACAGAACATTGTTAAAAGCAGTCTTTGCTGCCAACTCAAGCCACTCTCTCTGAGTTCTTCATGAAAATAAGCTATGACTGTAAAAATTATTGCTCAAAAATTTGCACCCTAAAGAAATTGCTTATTTAGCTCTCACATATACATCAGAGGAGCTTGCATATAATTGATTTTAGAGTCAATGAAATGTTAACATATGAATAGAAAAGTCCAGTGAAATTGATGAAAATATGGGTTTCCTCTATTGATTGGATACTAATCTCCACACACAGAAAAAGTTGTATTTTTAGTGAACAAATGTAGCAAATGACCTACCTGTTAATGTTAACTCACCATAGTTTGTAAAGCAAGGTGGCAAGATATATATTTCTTAGCTATATTCCCTAGAGTATTTTTAAAGTAATTCTAAAGAACCAATTATAATATCCTTTGTTCCTCAAGGGCTTAACATTTATTTGATAGTTTGAACAGCTAGATTCTCCTTTGAAGATGAAATCCCTATACAACATTTATGTACAGTTTTGTTACATGTGTTCATCAGAGCTTTAGCACAAACAGAGAAACTAGCCATCACTTTCAATAATATGGAAGAAGGAAAATATAGATAGATAAGTTTTGTAATTTTAATATAATAAAACCAAGAAGGTTTTCATCAGAACTCTCCAGTTTTGTCTATAGACACTGGGGTGAGGTCCTTTACTGAGGGTGAGGGGTAGAAAGGTGTGGCAGCTGAAAGACTTGAGGAAAGGAAGGATTTGTAAGGATGTGGAGAGCAGCAGAGTGACAACATAATCAGTAGAAGGAAGCAGAAGTATTGGTCAGGGCCCAGGTCCTTTGGAGGACGGACGTTCTGGATTTATGCTGGAACTAGTCTGCCCTATTGAAAGTCATTAACAAGCTAAGAATCAAAGACAGGTCTGAGACCAGGACCGTTTATAAAATTGATGAGTCATAAAATTGTTGACTTAGGAATAGGGCTGAAAATAGAAGGAAGAATATTTAAAACTTGTTTACACTGCATTTGTTAGATGATAAGGGAAGCTAGACATGTGTTCATTAGTCTGTATTTTCCAGTGCACTGATAGTTCCAGGTTAGCACAAATGAATCAAAATGGGCTCTGACCAAGACAGAAGAGGCATCCCTAATTCTCTTAGATCACAAATGGTGGTTATTCTTTGAGAAATCAGTCAACACAATATAGCTATATATCAAAATCAAAATGTAGATTTGTTACATCCCATGAAATTTGAGAGATTTGAGCATAGCTATTTTTTTCCTCAAATTGAGTTTAAAGCCTTATCTCAGTTTTTATCTGTATGGTTTTGATTCCTTGCACTAATTTAAAAGTAAAATGGTATTTCTTTTGACCCAGCCATCCCATTACTGAGTATATACCCAAAGGATTATAAATCATGCTGCTATAAAGACACATGCACACGTGTGTTTATTGGGGCACTATTCACAATAGCAAAGACTTGAAACCAACCTAAATGTCCAACAACGATAGACTGGATTAAGAAAATGTGGCGCATATACACCATGGAATACTATGCAGCCATAAAAAATGAAGAGTTCTTGTCCTTTGTAGGGACATGGATGAAACTGGAAACTCAATTTTCAGCAAATTCTCAGCAAACTATCGCAAGGACAGAAAACCAAACACCACATGTTCTCACTCATAGGTTGGAATTGAACAATGAGAACACATGGACATAGGAAGGGGAACATCACGCTCCAGGGACTGTTGTGGAGTGGGGGGAGGTGGGAGGGATAGCATTAGGAGATATACCTAATGCTAAATGACGAGTTAATGAGTGCAGCACACCAACATGGCACATGTATACATATGTAACAAACCTGCACATTGTGCACATGTACCCTAAAACTTAAAGTATAATAATAATAATAAAATAAAATAAAAAATAAATAAATAAATAAATAAATAAAAATAAAATGGTATTTCTTAAATATTTCTATAGAATGAAGGGTCATATAGGACTATAATACTGGTGTCTCTCATTTCCTCATCCCTTAATGCATAAAACTAATTGACAATTTGGCTCTTTGTTAAACAGAATGGCAGCTTTCAATTTGAAGGCAATATGCCCTATAGTATGTGTGTATGTATATGTATATTCATTTATTTGTTTTCTTACATATGTTAATATGCAATAACATTTCAATAAAACATAAGAGTTACAAAATGACTCTTCTGACTACAAATGATTCTGGCTCAATAATAACTGAATGGATAGACAAAAAGTAATGGATTGGTTATTTTTGATGAGGAAGAGCAAAGTCTCAAAAATTTTAATATGGGATCACATGATCAGATGTCCACACATTAGAAGGTGACATTAATTTACTTATAGATTTGGTTAGGGAATACAGATTTAGCTATGTATATTATACTAACTCAAAGATGAGTTTTACACATGCTTATTTTATGTTTCATAGAAAGCCTTCAGAAAGTTTTATATTATCTATCTATATTACTGAACACATTAGTTTATTTAGTCGATGTCACTTTGCTTCTGCTGGAAGGACCAATTGATGTATGTCTGCTAGTGGAACACCTAATGGATTTAGCTATACAAATGACACCATGTTCAGACAGTTGGATACATCCTATTGGCCCTTAAGATTTTACTTGTGTGTTTGTGATTACTCAATTGGCTATTTTTTATTTAAAAGTTGTAGTCGGTTCAATATGGTACTGAAAGTCCTACCTACTAAATAAAAAGTATACAAATTGAAAAGAAACAAATCTGTGTTATTCACAGATGACATGATGCTTTATTATAAAAGTTATTTTAAAATATACAAATGGGAAATTAAGTGTATATTTTGGAAGATGATATGATTACAATTACAAATTCAATACACAAAAACCACTCATACAGGCCAGGTGCGATGGCTCACAACTGTAATCCCAGCACTTTGGGAGCCTGAGGTGGGCAGATTATTTGAGGTAGGGAGTTTGAGACTAGCCTAGCCAACATAGTGAAACCGGTGTGATGGCAACGTGCCTGTAGCCCCAGCTACTTGGGAGGCAGAGGCAGGAGAATCCGTTGAACCTGGGAGGCAGACATTGCATAGAGCCAAGATTATACCACTTCACTCCAATCTGGGTGACAGAGCGGGACTCTGTCTAAAAAAACAAAACAAAACAAAATAAAAAAACCCAAAAACACTCATACAGTTACATAAAAGCAATACACAGTAGAATATAAAACTTAAAAATATCACATAAAATCATAAGCTACTCAGAAACAAAAATAAAAAGTGTGCAAAAGATACACACTGAAAAGCACAAACGTCTGCAGAGCGAAATTAAAGAAGACCTAAATAATAAAGACATACGTCTCACTTGTGCATTAGAATATTCAATATAGTCAATGTGTTAATTCTTCCTAAATCTATCAATAATTTTAAAGCCACTTCTATCAAATTTCAGCAGGATGATGTTTGCAAAACTTCATGATCTGATTCTAAAATAAATGCTGTCATAAAAACACAAAAACCCCTTTGGAAAGTGAACAAATATTGTTGCATAATTTGCACTACTTAAATGTCCATGGTCAGTACCATGTGTCCAATTATCTGACCATTGTAGTATTTACATAACTAATTAATTAGGTGCACTTCTAGCAGACATCAATCAATTGATCATTGTAATTGAAGTAAAATCAGGTTAACTAAACATTTAATGTCTTCAAACACAAGTTGAACAGGGGTTTCTGAAGGCTTTCTTGAAAAAAATAAAGTATGTGAAAAACTGTCCCTTAAGTTAATATCATCCACCTAAGAGTTACTAAGAAGTATAGCATTCAAAGCAGTGTGTGGATCTAAGGATGATGAAGAGGTTAAGTGTACAGAATAAAGAGATCACAAATAGATCCACTCGTATATGTAGCCAATGGATTTTTGAACAAAGGTGCAAAGGTATTTTAATGGAGACTGCTACTGGAAAATATGGATATGTTCATTAAAATATTTAACTTCCTATAACACACCACATGCCAATACTCAAAACTAAATTGGTGGAAATAAAAATTCTAAATGTAAATGCTAAATCTACAAGTCCTCCAGGAAAAAAAAAAAAATGGAAGAATAGCTTTATGATCTTGAGGAAAGCAAAGATTTCTTAGGAAGAAAATAAAAGCACTAATTGTGAATAAAATATATATATATAATTATATATATATAAAGTGTGTGTGTGTCATCAAATTTTAAAACACGCATTCTTCAAAATAATGCTAAGATAATGAAAAGGCAAACCATAGACTAGGAAGACTATTCATAGTAAGTAATTCTGACAAATGATTGGTATTAAGAACATATAAATATCTCCCACAATTCACTGGTCCAAATATAAACAGTTCAATTAAAAAAAAAAAGAAAGTCTAAGTTGTGAGCAGACACTTCATAAAAGAAGATACATGAACAGCAAACGATCACATGAAAAGAAATTCAACATCTGCATTTGTCAAGAAAATGTAAATTATGCCCATTATGAAACACCGCATAACAAAGATTTCCTCCTGGACCAAACTCTAGAAAGAATCCTCTGAGCACTTTCTTGACTAGGCCTCAACCTTGGCCTAAAAAGACTTGAACAAAACACAAACACAGTGGCTAACAGCTCAAGGCCATATCCCTGGGATGACTGTAGTACTCCTGGAAGAACCTGCCTGAGAAAACTCAAGGCTGCCAACAAAAGATACTGTCTGTTTCAGCCAATATGTGGAGAAAGAGCTCTTGTCTACTAGCTCCCAAGGGAGGGTAGGAGCCAGTTGGCAAACCTGGGTGGGTTTCACATGGATCAACACTCCTTTCACACTTTTTGTAATTTTTTTACTTCTCTGACTCTCTTGAGCCCTGCTCATGCCTCTTCCTATTTCCTCATTCTACCTTTAGAATACACAGTTATCTCTGTGAAAACAAAATTAGAGTTCAGTTTACAGTGAACCTACCTGTCCATTGCAATAGTATATTACTGAATAAAATCTGTCCTTACTACTTTAACTGGTAGCTGGCTTTGTTTATCTTTGTAACACTTCACACTCACTTCAATGGGAGGAATAAAAAATATTGACAATACAAAGATTAACAATGATAATGTGAAGCAACTGAAACTCTTATAACACATAACAAGATATAATAATGAAAATAATTCAATGGGCTGTGAAAAACTGGTGGCCCTTTATAAAATTTTATATAAATTTATAGTTCATCATAAAACTATGACACAGAAATTTTGCTCTTCAGTATTTATCCAAGGCAAAAGAAGACATATCCATACAGAGTCTCAAACATGTATCAGCAGATGCATAGATGAACCAATTATAGTATATCCCTATAATGGGTTACTACTCTCAGCAATAAAAATGAACAAACTGTTCATACAATCTTGATGAATCTATCATCTATCTATCTATCTATCTATCTAAGAATCAACTTTCTGATTGACATAGTAATGACCTTCCCAAAACTGTCCCTCCATGAAAACCATGAGAACACTAAAAAAAAGTCAAAGTCAACTGTTTCTGGATACTAGAAAGTAATCAAAAGCTTGCAACAATTCCGTGAGTATTTATTCAAGAAAAAATTCCTGAATCTTGGTAAGGACAGTGAACTTTGTGGCATCTTTACTTGCCCTATTCTCACACTTCCCAGCTGCACAGTAGCCTTGAAAATTGGAATTGTGATAACATGGCTGTACACATTTGTCAAACTTTACTGAACTGCACACTTAAAGTTCCTACATTTAATGTAAGTGAATTTACCCCATAAATTTAACTCAAAGGAAATTTTTTCTTTCCTCAGAATTAAGCAAATCAAATTACTTGCTAGATGTTTAACATCCAGAGAATCATTAAAAACAAAACCAAATAGAAAACAGAGCCACAAAGTTATCAGAGTTCTTTCCATACCCAGGATTACAACAAGTCAAAAGCTTAAGCATCGAAAGCTAAGGTGTTCCTCAAACCCATTTTCCCCTAGACTTTTTTAAAACAAATAATTCAAGTTGAGAGTCCAGAAAGCCACTAGTTCATCTCTTATCTTCTCTTTTTTTGTCCCCAGTATCATGGAAGCCTGGTTAAAAGAAAAAAAAAAAATAAGAAGAAGGAGAGAAGAAGAAGAGAAACTTAGATGTTAGATAAAGAGTTTTAAGTAGGAATTGGGTGTGGTCAAGGCAAATGGTTATTGGCCTTCTCTATGGAGATAAGAATCCAGAGTATCCATGTGGGCTGATGTGACCAGTGACTTTTCAAATTCCTTTCCAACACACAAATTACATTTTCCTTGAAAAGCAGGTACACTGAATAAGCATGGTAAGTAAAGTGATGTTTCTGTCAGGCAGTATAACAGAAACAGAAAAGAGAAAACACATGAAGCTTTCAACTCTAAGAAGCCTCAAAAAAGAGAAGGAAAACAGTCACATTTTTAAGGTTTTAGTCTCAAAGCTATATGTGTTCTGTCATGTCTTATGATCTGATTTTGTTCTGATCCTCATAAGGATGGTCAAACTGCTAATTTAGTCCAAACAATTATGTGCGAGTATCATATACTACTAAGAAGTTTCTGATTGTTTTAAAAAATAATGTTAGAACAAATAGACAGTCAGCAAGCAAAATAAATTAATGTAGTGATCTAATATGGCAAGTTATGGGGAAAATGACAATGCATCAGTCAATCTCAAATCATGCACTTTCAACATATAACAATATTAGCATAGCAAACCAGTGCGAAAATGTCTGGACACACTTGTATTTTTCCACCAACAGAATTCTATGCATTATAATAGGCAGTGCAGTAAATATGTTTGCAAAATGGACATAGGAATTGTGCATGTGAGATCATCTAATGTATCTCCTAATAGAGTAGACACTAGTTTTAACATTCTTTCTCACATCTGAACAGGATAAACTATCATTAACAAACTCTTAGTTAATAACACCTTCTTACCTAACTAGAAGTTTGTTAATGAACAGAGCAGTGGGTAAGAAAAAAATTTTACTGCAAAAAGTAAAATAAATGGTAGTAGCTATTGTAGAGCAAAAATTATTCTCGTTGTATGATTGCACCTCCACCAGCACCATACATGAACATACACAATACATACACACCAACAAACACACATACACCTGCTGTGCACTTGAGCCATTTCAGGCAAGAGGAGTCATTTCCAAAAACAAGCAGCAGCCTTGTCTGTACTGAGATTGTCCTGAAAGTATGTAAGGCTGAGGCCAACATGTGAAGAGTCTGTAAGACACAATATAAGCTAAACCAAATTATGAAATAGGAATTGAGAGAAAGGCAGTGATACAGAGAGGGCAACAGAGAGAAAGAGACAGAGACAAGGAAAGACAACTCACAACACTGAAAATATGTCCAAAGAACAAGGACACCTTGCTTTAAGAAGAATAAAACATTATCCAACAGATCACCCAACCATATATAAAAGAACTTTTCATTTCAAATACTGACTTTTAAAGATTGTAGCTATTAAATATTTTCAGCTCCAAATGTCAGAATCAACAATTTTTCTTTCATCACTATGTGCCTTCAATTGTAATTATTCTTTCTCAATTTAGAAACATGTATTGATGACTTGCTATGAAAACAAGGAGATAGATATAATGTTTCTGTTTTTTAATTTATTATTATTACTATTATTATACTTTAAGTTTTAGGGTACATGTGTACAATGTGCAGGTTAGTTACATATGTATACATGTGCCTTGCTGGTGCGCTGCACCCACTAACTCGTCATCTAGCATTAGGTATATCTCCCAATGCAATCCCTCCCCCCTCCCCCCACCCCACAACCGTCCCCAGAGTGTGATGTTCCCCTTCCTGTGTCCATGTGTTCTCATTGTTCAATTCCCATCTATGAGTGAGGATATGCAGTGTTTGGTTTTTTGTTCTTGCGATAGTTTACTGAGAATGATGATTTCCAATTTCATCCATATCCCTACAAAGGACATGAACTCATCATTTTTTATGGCTGCATAGTATTCCATGGTGTATATGTGCCACATTTTCTTAATCCAGTCTATCATTGTTGGACATTTCCGTTGGTTCCAAGTCTTTGCTATTGTGAATAATGCCGCAATAAACATACGTGTGCATGTGTCTTTATAGCAGCATGATTTATAGTCCTTTGGGTATATACCCAGTAATGGGATGGCTGGGTCAAATGGTTTTTCTAGTTCTAGATCCCTGAGGAATCGCCACACTGACTTCCACAATGGTTGAACTAGTTTACAGTCCCACCAACAGTGTAAAAGTGTTCCTATTTCTCCACATCCTCTCCAGCACCTGTAGTTTCCTGACTTTTTAATGATTGCCATTCTAGCTGGTGTGAGATGGTATCTCATTGTGCTTTTGATTTGCATTTCTCAGATGGCCAGTGATGATGAGCATTTTTTCATGTGTCTTTTGGCTGCATAAATGTCTTCTTTTGAGAAGTGTCTGTTCATGTCCTTCACCCACTTTTTGACAGGGTTGTTTGTTTTTTTCTTGTAAATTTGTTTGAGTTCATTGTAGATTCTGGATATTAACCCTTTGTCAGATGAGTAGGTTGTGAAAATTTTCTCCCATTTTGTAGGTTGCCTGTTCACTCTGATGGTAGTTTCTTTTGCTGTGCAGAAGCTCTTTAGTTTAATTAGATCCCATTTGTCAATTTTGGCTTTTGTTGCCATTGCTTTTGGTGTTTTAGACATAAAGTCCTTGCCCATGCCTATGTCCTGAATGGTAATGCCTAGGTTTTCTTCTAGGGTTTTTATGGTTTTAGGTCTAACATTTAAGTCTTTAATCCATCTTGAATTGATTTTTGTATAAGGTGTAAGGAAGGGATCCAGTTTCAGCTTTCTACATATGGCTAGCCAGTTTTCCCTGCACCATTTATTAAATAGGGAATCCTTTCCCCATTGCTTGTTTTCCTCAGGTTTGTCAAAGATCAGATAGTTGTAGATATGCGGCGTTATTTCTAAGGGCTCTGTTCTGTTCCATTCATCTATATCTCTGTTTTGCTACCAGTACCATGCTGTTTTGGTTACTGTAGCCTTGTAGTATAGTTTGAAGTCAGGTAGTGTGATGCCTCCAGCTTTGTTCTTTTGGCTTAGGATTGACTTGGCGATGCGGGCTCTTTTTCGGTTCCATATGAACTTTAAAGTAGTTTTTTCCAATTCTGTGAAGAAAGCCCTTGGTAGCTTGATGGGGATGGCATTGAATCTGTAAATTACCTTGGGCAGTATGGACATTTTCAAGATATTAATTCTTCCTACCCATGAGCATGGAATGTTCTTCCATTTGTTTGTATCCTCTTTTATTTCCTTGAGCAGTGGTTTGTAGTTCTCCTTGAAGAGGTCCTTCACATCCCTTGTAAGTTGGATTCCTAGGTATTTTATTCTCTTTGAAGCAACTGTGAATGGGATTTCACTCATGATTTGGCTCTCTGTTTGTCTGTTGTTGGTGTATAAGAATGCTTGTGATTTTTGCACATTGATTTTGTATTCTGAGACTTTGCTGAAGTTGCTTATCAGCTTAAGGAGATTTGGGGCTGAGATGATGGGGTTTTCTAGATATACAATCATGTCATCTGCAAACAGGGACAATTTGACTTCCTCTTTTCCTAATTGAATACCCTTTATTTCCTTCTCCTGCCTAATTGCCCTGGCCAGAACTTCCAACACTATATTGAATAGGAGTGGTGAGAGAGGGCATCCCTGCCTTGTGCCAGTTTTCAAAGGGAATGCTTCCAGTTTTTGCCCATTCAGTATGATATTGGCTGTGGGTTTGTCATAGATAGCTCTTATTATTTTGAAATACGTCCCATCAATACCTAATTTATTGAGAGTTTTTAGCATGAAGTGTTGTTGAATTTTGTCAAAGGCCTTTTCTGCATCTATTGAGATAATCATGTGGTTTTTGTCTTTGGTTCTGTTTATATGCTGGATTACATTTATTGATTTGCATATATTGAACCAGCCTTGCATCCCAGGGATAAAGTCCACTTGATCATGGTGGATAAGCTTTTTGATGTGCTGCTGGATTCGGTTTGCCAGTATTTTACTGAGGATTTTTGCATCAATGTTCATCAAGGATATTGGTCTAAAATTCTCTTTTTTGGTTGTGTCTCTGCCAGGCTTTGGTATCGGGATGATGCTGGCCTCATAAAATGAATTAGGGAGGATTCCCTCTTTTTCTATTGATTGGAATAGTTTCAGAAGGAATGGTACCAGTTCCTCCTTGTACCTCTGGTAGAATTCGGCTGTGAATCCATCTGGTCCTGAACTCTTTTTCGTTGGTAAGCTATTGATTATTGCCACAATTTCAGATCCTGTTATTGGTCTATTCAGAGATTCAACTTCTTCCTGGTTTAGTTTGGGAGAGTGTATGTGTTGAGGAATTTATCCATTTCTTCTAGATTTTCTAGTCTATTTGCATAGAGGTGTTTGTAGTATCCTCTGATGGTAGTTTGTATTTCTGTGGGATCGGTGGTGATATCCCCTTTATCATTTTTTATTGCCTCTATTTGATTCTTCTCTCTTTTTTTCTTTATTAGTCTTGCTAGCGGTTTATCAATTTTGTTGATCCTTTCAAAAAACCAGCTCCTGGATTCATTAATTTTTTGAAGGGTTTTTTGTGTCTCCATTTCCTTCAGTTCTGCTCTGATTTCAGTTATTTCTTGCCTTCTGCTAGCTTTTGAATGTGTTTGCTCTTGCTTTTCTAGTTCTTTTAATTGTGATGTTAGGGTGTCAATTTTGGATCTTTCCTGCTTTCTCTTGTGGGCATTCAGTGCTATAAATTTCCCTCTACACACTGCTTTGAATGTGTCCCAGAGATTCTGGTATGTTGTGTCTTTGTTCTCGTTGGTTTCAAAGAACATCTTTATTTCTGCCTTCATTTCGTTATGTACCCAGTAGTCATTCAGGAGTAGGTTGTTCAGTTTCCATGTAGTTGAGTGGTTTTGAGTGAGATTCTTAATCCTGAGTTCTAGTTTGATTGCACTGTGGTCTGAGAGATAGTTTGTTATAATTTCTGTTCTTTTACATTTGCTGAGAAGAGCTTTACTTCCAAGTATGTGGTCAATTTTGGAGCAGGTGTGGTGTGGTGCTGAAAAAAATGTATATTCTGTTGATTTGGGGTGGAGAGTTCTGTAGATGTCTATTAGGTATGCTTGGTGCAGAGCTGAGTTCAATTCCTGGGTATCCTTGTTGACTTTCTGTCTCGTTGATCTGTCTAATGTTGACAGTGGGGTGTTAAAGTCTCCCATTATTAATGTGTGGGAGTCTAAGTCTCTTTGTAGGTCACTCAGGACTTGCTTTATGAATCTGGGTGCTCCTGTATTGGGTGCATATGTATTTAGGATAGTTAGCTCTTCTTGTTGAATTGATCCCTTTACCATTATGTAATGGCCTTCTTTGTCTCTTTTGATCTTTGTTGTTTTAAAGTCTGTTTTATCAGAGACTAGGATTGCAACCCCTTCCTTTTTTTGTTTTCCATTTGCTTGGTAGATCTTCCTCCATCCTTTTATTTTGAGCCTATGTGTGTCTCTGCACGTGAGATGGGTTTCCTGAATACAGTACACTGATGGGTCTTGACTCTTTATCCAATTTGCCAGTCTGTGTCTTTTAATTGGAGCATTTAGTCCATTTGTGTTTAAAGTTAATATTGTTATGTGTGAATTTCATCCTGTAATTATGATGTTAACTGGTTATTTTGCTCGTTAGTTGATGCAGTTTCTTCCTAGTCTTGATGGTCTTTACATTTTGGCATGATTTTGCAGCGGCTGGTACCGGTTGTTCCTTTCCATGTTTAGTGCTTCCTTCAGGAGCTCTTTTAGGGTAGGCCTGGTGGTTACAAAATCTCTCAGCATTTGGTTGTCTGTAAAGTATTTTATTTCTCCTTCACTTATGAAGCTTAGTTTGGCTGGATATGAAATTCTGGGTTGAAAATTCTTTTCTTTAATAATGTTGAATATTGGCCCCCACTCTCTTCTAGCTTGTAGAGTTTCTGCTGAGAGATCCGCTGTTAGTCTGATGGGCTTCCCTTTGAAGGTAACCCGACCTTTCTCTCTGGCTGCCCTTAACATTTTTTCCTTCATTTCATCTTTGGTGTATCTGACAATTATGTGTCTTGGAGTTGCTCTTCTCGAGGAGTATCTTTGTGGTGTGCTCTGTATTTCCTGAATCTGGATGTTGGCCTGCCTTGCTAGATTGGGGAAGTTCTCTTGGATAATATCCTGCAGAGTGTTTTCCAACTTGGTTCCATTCTCCCTGTCACTTTCAGGTACACCAATCAGACATAGATTTGGTCTTTTCACATAGTCCCATATTTCTTGGAGGCTTTGCTCATTTCTTTTTATTCTTTTTTCTCTAAACTTCCCTTCTTGCTTCATTTCATTCAATTCATCTTCCATTGCTGATACCCTTTCTTCCAGTTGATCGCATCGGCTCCTGAGGCTTCTTCATTCTTCACGTAGTTCTCGAGCCTTGGTTTTCAGCTCCATCAGCTCCTTTAAGCACTTCTCTCTATTTGTTATTCTAGTTATACATTCTTCTAAATTTTTTTCAAAGTTTTCAACTTCTTTGCCTTTGGTTTGAATGACCTCCCGTAGCTTGGAGTAATTTGATCATCTGAAGCCTTCTTCTCTCATCTCGTCAAAGTCGTTCTCCATCCAGCTTTGTTCCGTTGCTGGTGAGGAACTGCTTTCCTTTGGAGGAGGAGAGGTGCTCTGCTTTTTAGAGTTTCCAGTTTTTCTGCTCTGTTTTTTCCCTATCTTTGTGGTTTTATCTGCTTTTGGTCTTTGATGATGGTGATGTACAGATGGGTTTTCGGTGTGGATGTCCTTTCTGTTTGTTAGTTTTCCTTCTAACAGACAGGACCCTTAGCTGCAGGTCTGTTGGAGTACCCGGCCGTGTGAGGTGTCAGTCTGCCCAAGCTGGGGGGTGCCTCCCAGTTATGCTGCTCGGGGGTCAGGGGTCAGGGACCCACTTGAGGAGGAAGTCTGCCCTTTCTCAGATCTCCAGCTGCGTGCTGGGAGAACCACTGCTCTCTTCAAAGCTGTCAGGGACATTTAAGTCCGCAGAGGTTACTGCTGTCTTTTGTTTGTCTCTGTCCTGCCCCCAGAGGTGGAGCCTACAGAGGCAGGCAGGCCTCCTTGAGCTGTGGTGGGCTCCACCCAGTTCGAGCTTCCTGGCTGCTTTGTTTACCTAAGCATGCCTGGGCAATGGTGGGCACCCCTCCCCCAGCCTCGCTGCCGCCTTGCAGTTTGATCTCAGACTGCTGTGCTAGCAATCAGTGAGACTCCGTGGGCATAGGACTCTCTGAGCCAGGTGCGGGATATAATCTCCTGGTGTGCCATTTTTTAAGCCCGTCGGAAAAGCACAGTATTGGGGTGGGAGTGACCCGATTTTCCAGGTGCCATCTGTCACCCCTTTCTTTGACTAGGAAAGGGAACTCCCTGACCCCTTGTGCTTCCAGAGTGAGGCAATGCCTCACCCTGCTTCGGCTCGCGCAGGGTGCGCGCACCCACTGACCTGGGCCCACTGTCTGCCACTCCCTAGTGAGATGAACCCGGTACCTCAGATGGAAATGCAGAAATCACCCATCTTCTGCGTCGCTCACGCTGGGAGCTGTAGACTGGAGCTGTTCCTATTCGGCCATCTTCAGTACTTAACCGATACAATAGGTTTCATTTCTCACAGAACTCTCAGAATATATTAGGAAACATGGCATTGTATTATTATGAATTTTCTGTGTGACTAACAGACAAATAGAGTTGCAATATCTACACAATCACAGGAATGGGTATGTGCAACTGTTTGCTCATGAAAGGACAAGGGAGTTGATATTTGGGCTGTGCCTTGAAATATGAAGTTCTCTCCAGAATAAGGACAGCAATAAGGATAAAACTATTGGTTAAGAAAAAAAATGCCTTTTTAATATGCAATGTCTGAACAACAGAATAAAGGAGAATAAAATTAAAAGATTGGAGTTGAATTTCTCATAAAAAAGCATAAACTGTAGCTGAAATCAGAATTATTCTGTTGGCATTCTTATTATATTATATTTTATTATTTTATTTATTTATTTATTTATTTTTGAGTTGGAGTCTGGCTCTGTCACCAAGGCTAGAGTACAGTGGCACGATCTTGGCTCATGGCAACCTCTGCCCCCCGGGTTCAAGCGATTCTCCTGCCTCAGCCTCCCAAGTAGCTGGAATTACAGGCACCCACCACTGCACCTGGCTAATTTTTGTATTTTTAGTAGAGACGGGGTTTCGCCATCTTGGCCAGGCTGGTCTCGAACTCCTGACCTTGTGATTCACCTGCCTCGGCCTCCCAAAGTGCTGGGATTACAGGCATGAACTACTGCACCTGGCCTATTTTATTATTTTTTTAAGACAGGATCTTACTCTGTTACCCAGGCTGGAGTGCACTGGCATGATCTCAGCTCACTGCAACCTTTGCCTCCCAGGCTGAAGCCATCCTCCCACATCAGCCTCCTGAGTAGCTTGGACTACAGACACTTGCCACCAGACCTAACTAATTTTTGTGGTTTTTTTAGAGACAGGGTTTCCTCATGTTGCCCAGGTTAGTCTCGAACTCCTGAACTCAAGTGATCTGTGGGCCTTGGCCTCCCAAAAGGCTGGGATTACAGGCCTAAGCCACTTTGCCCAGCCTGTTGGCTCTTTTAAATGTTAATTTTCTATTTGGGTAATAACCAGTATTTCAATGGCAAAGCAATATACTAGGATCACACTTCATATAATTTATCCAATCCCAATCTGTGGGAAACATTTTATGCTCACATATAAGCATTCACTATGTGGAAAAAAAAAAATCCAATCCTACTGGGAAAATATCTATTATGAAAATACTTGTCAAATGAGCTGAAATTCCCAACTTGTCCCAATCAAATTGCAGCTACCAGAAAAATAGATACCTATGGCTATTTGCTGAGGCATTCAAGAAATAACGTTCATCTGTTCATCTCACCCTAGGTTTTTTGGGGTTTGTTTTGTTTTATTGAGACAGGGTCATCCAGGCTGGAGTCATCCAGGCTCTGTCATCCATCCTCTGTCATCCAGACTGGAGTGTCGTGGTGACAACATGGTTCACTGAAGCCTCTACCTCCCAGGCTCAAGTGATCCTCCTGCCTCAGCTTCCCATGTAGCTGGGACCACAAGGGCATCCCACCACAACTGGCTAATTTTTTTTTATTTTTTTGTAAAGACAGAGTCTCTATCTTGTGTAGTTTGGCCTAAAACTCCTGGGCTCAAGCAATCCTCCTGCCTCAGCCTCCCAAAGTACTGGGATTACATGTGTGAGCCACACTGCCTGGCATTATTACCCTAGGTTTTTAAGGTTAAATGGCATATAACACCAAAAGATTTGTATGTAGCATTTGGTACATAAGGAACTATTATAAATGTATGAAATAAAGACAAATCACCCTACCTGAAAAGTTAACAAAGTATATGGACATATAAGTGAAAGAGAAATATGAGATTAGCATCAATATACTTAAAAATACTTAGTTTCACTTGTAATAACAATTCAACCTTAAACACCAAATGAGAATTCATTGTTTACCCATCAGATTAGAAAACATTTAAAGTCTGACAACACCTAGTTTTGGCAAGAATAAAGTGATGTAAAGGTAACACTCACAAACTGTTGATAGAAATATAAATCAGTAAAACAATTGGCAATATATAGTAAATTTAAAGATACTTATATCTTATGACCAAGAAATTACCAACCTACCTGAGAGGAACTCCTTACGTGGTACACATTCATAATTACACACAAAACATTTATTAATGGATTTTCATATTATCAAGAAACTGGAAAATGTAACTCTTCACCAACAGTAGAAATAAAATACAATTTGGGAGGCTGAGGCGGGAGGATCACAAGGTCAGGTGATCAAGACCATCCTGGCTAACATGGTGAAATCCCGTCTCTATTAAAAATACAAAATTAGCCTGGCATGGTGGTGGGCACCTGTAATCCCAGCTACTAGGAGGCTAGACAGGAGAATCGCTTGACCCTGGGGGGCGGAGTTTGCGGTGAGCCGAGATCGTGCCATTGCACCCCAGCCTGGGCAACAAGAGTGAGACTCTGTCTCAAAAAAAAAAAAAATCGTAGAATAAATACACATATTGAGGCATATTTATATATTGGCATAGACTATACCACTAAAAATTGCTGCTGCATGATTCACCACAGATACATCCAACAATATTTAGTGCAAGATAAATAAATTGCAGAAAGATACATAGAGTGGATGCATTTATTTCAAGTTCTAAATGTAGCAAATCAGTACTACATATTTCTATGAATATATAAACACCTATCCAATGATGTAACTCTACAGAAGGATAAGAAACATTAAATTTGTAATAGAGTTTACAGCAAGAAATGGGACAAGAGACAGAATCAGTCAGGAGAGATGTATCTTTGTAAGTTTTAAATTTCTGAAATAACTGAAACAAATGGGGCATTCTGTGAAGATTTAATAGTGATTAGTTGTGCTTACAAAGGAGTCTTTATATTATTTTCTATTTTAGATGTATATTAAAAATAGTTCATAAGAAAAAATTAACAAGCGAAACCATGAAAATAATTTAATAATATATGTAAAAATCCACATGATCATAGGTGGCATAAACTTAACTTCCTAAAAGTAAAAAAAGACACAATAAAGTGAAATAAAAAAAATTGAGAAAATTTAAAATGATAAAATATTAACTTTGGAAAAGATACAATAGAAGAGATAAAATGGAATTCATGTGTATATATATACAATTGCTACACCTGTATATATAACAAAAACATGTTTATATCATTGAGAAATATCTGAAATAAATAAGAAAACATATAAACACCACAATTTAAAAACAGGTGAAGCAGCTGGGCGCGGTGGCTCATGCCTGTAATCCCAGCACTTTGGGAGGCCGAGGCGGGCGGATCACGAGGTCAGGAGATCAAGACCATCCTGGCTAACACGGTGAAACCCCGTCTCTACTAAAAATACAAAAAATTAGCCGGGCGTGGTGGCGGGCGCCTGTAGTCCCAGCTACTCGGGAGGCTGAGGCAGGAGAATGGCGTGAACCCGGGAGGCGGAGCTTTCAGTGAGCCGAGATCGCGCCACTGTACTCCAGCCTGAGCAACAGAGCAATACTCTGTCAAAAAAAAAAAAAAAAAAAAGGCATACGACCTTGATTCTCACCAAAAAAATTTGAATAAGCAATTAAAAAAAAGAAAATGTTATATTGTAATCAAAATACACACACACACCTACATACACACATAAAACACACAAATATCCACATGCATTCGTGGATAAAACATTCAATTCAATTTATTTATTCAAAGGAAACAGGCAATGGTAATAAAAGAGTGAAGAATTGAGTTCACATGTTGATGGGAATCCTTACTGGTACAACATACAAACAATTAAAAACTCTTTCTAAAGGAAATTTGGCATTTCCATGAAAAGCCTTATGAAATAGGGTTTCATTGGATCTATGATATCATTCTAAGGATATAACTTAAAGTAATAATCCAAAGTACACCTAAAGGATCTTCATTTCTATATAATATGTATAAAAGAAAAACAGAAACCTCATCTACTATGGTTGGCAAGTTTCTGGAAAATAGCTTGGAGGCTTATTAAGTATTATAAAATGTAATTAGCAAATGTAGTCACTCATTGCCATTTATCCAACTTTTCAAACAGACTCACGAAGATAAGCATAGAAGATTACAACTAAACAAGTGTGCTAAATGTGCTGCCTCATGTGAGATTCTGAATACATAGAAGTTAGGTAGATATCCTCCATTCATTCAAAGGGACAAACAAAAACATTTAAAAAAATGTAATGAGCTGTCATTTTCTCAGCAATTGATAATTCTGTCTTTTATGATATTTTAGTATGATATATAGTACTATGATATATAGTACTATGATATATAGTACTATGATATATAGTACTATGATACAGTACTATGATATATTAGTACTATGATACAGTACTATGATATATTAGTACTATGATACAGTACTATGATATAGTATTATGATATATTAGTACTATGATATAGTACTATGATATATTAGTACTATGAGTACTAATAATGGAATCATCTGTACTTCATTACTTTTTACAGAGCTAGAACAATGTCTTCTAGTCTTATATTTGAATTTCTATGCTTTCATTTTCAATTTACTGAGGTGGCAGTGTAAGCTCTAGCTAATAATTTGACATACACTTTTAAGTCCCATATGCAAATTACAAAGGACAAAAAACACTCAATGACAGATTGATTTGTTAATTTTAAATGTTCATTAATTGGTCAGATAATAAGAACAGATTCCAACACCTATGACCAAAATATCTACCTTACTTAGCAAACAGTTTCTTTTGAATAACTTTCCTTATACTTCTTTTAACGTCTTTATTCCTCAGGCTGTAGATCAATGGGTTTAACATCGGACTCACAAAGATATAAAAAACAGCTACAATTTTCCCCTGTTGTATAGATGTCTCAGAAGGGGGCCTCAGGTACATGCAGAACAGTGTCCCATAGAAGACAGTGACAGCGGTCACATGAGACCCGCAGGTGGAGAAGGCCTTGCGCCTCCCCTCAGCAGTGTGGATACGCAGAATGGCAGTGAAGATGAAAGTGTAGGAAATGAGGATGACGGTGAGAGAGCAAATGAGGTTGGAACCAGCCACCACCAACATGGCGGTCTCTTTGACATAAGTATCTGAGCAGGCGAGGACTAAGAGGGGTGGGTCCGCACAGTAAAAGTGGTTGATGTCATTGGGTCCACAGAAGGACAGACGAAGCATCAGGGTGGTCTGTGCTTAGACCATTTGCAAAGCCATAAATATAGGGAGCAGCAGCGAGACAGAGGCAGACACACCTGGTCATTTTGCTTCCATATAACAAGGGCTTGCAGATGGCCATGTAGCGGTCATAAGCCATCACTGTGAGCATATAATAATCTGTAATCACCAGTGCAATGAAAAAGTGAAATTGGATAAAGCAGCCGATGAAGGAAATGGTTTTTCTCTTGGATAAAAAGTTAACCAGCATCTGAGGAGTAACATTGGTGGTATAACAGAGATCTACAAAGGAGAGGTGACTGAGGAAGAAGTACATTGGAGTGTGTAGTGTCGAGTCACTTCTGATTAACAAGATCATGCTCACATTGCCGATTACTGTGATAAGGTAGATGACTAGAAATACCACAAAAAGAAGGGACTGCAGCTCAGCCCGATCTGTCAGTCCCAGGAGAACAAACTCAGTCACGGCTGTATGGTTTTTCTTTAACATTGTGTTTGCTTGGCTTCAAATGACATCTAAATAAAAGGAAATTAAAATGCATTTAGGTTTGTCATTTATGCATTACCCCAGTGGTGTCATCTGCTATTTCTTCCTCTTCTCTCAAAATGTAAATACATGTGACATTAAGAAATAGCCTAGTGAGCATGTGATTGATGCTTTAAACATCTAAACTAATATAGAGTTTTTTAATATACAAAGGCAATAATATTTAAAATGGTTTTCTGTGGTTCTTTTCTGCAAGTCTTTTGATAGTTAAAGAGCCTTATCTTTTATCTTTTTGCAAGTCTTTGTTATATGTGTTCACTTAGACTTTTCTTGAACCCATGGTTGTAAACATTGCTTTTCTTTGAAACTGTAATTCTTTGTTTAACAACACACCTTTGAATGTGGGATCTAAAGTATCAGCCTTTGAAACCCTCCAGGTTTATCACAACTGAACGTGCTTAGGAAAGTGGGACTGATGCCTGGTATACATCCCTGTAGAACAAGAATCGCTTTGCCTGCCCCTGTGAACTGGAGATCATTTTCCAGATCTTCCCTCACCCTCTAATGTGTGCCCATTTTCTTCACTTTATTCTACCTCAGCTGGCCCTCTTATCAACAAATCTTTTTTAACTTTAAAGACCAAGCTACATTTCTTCATTTTGTATATTTTTGTCCAAGGGGGCAAAAATTGGTTCTTGGGGAATGAAAGTAGATATTACATATTTGTATTTATAATACATATGCACATAATACATAAACCATATACATTTGCATGGTATATAGATACACAAGTGCACCTGTATTGATGGTATTAAATGTTGATAGGGATATAAAGAAAACAATAGTGTATCAAAGGGCTCCTGGGGAGGGGGGCAATAAGGATAAAATGATGAAGAAACTTATCCTCAAACTAAAATGCTGTTGTTTTAACTCTACCTCATTCTAACACTTGAAAAACTAAGAAAAAACATTGGAACACAAGTTCAATATGAATTTGTTAAAACATGTAACAGATCAAAGTGAAATCATAATCATATTAACAACATGACTGAGACCATACTTAAAATATCCTGACCTGAATCTCTCAACATTTGGGCAAGATAAAAGTGACCATGAAGATCATGATGGAACAATCGACGTGTTTCTTCTATGACACATATCCAGACTTGACAATGTTATACTAACTTTTTTTTAATAACTACCATGCCAACACTGGAAACAGGTCACTTCATAAATAAAGCACTCTGTAAATTCAATGTTCAAAACTTGTCCACCGTATTATCTCATTCTACACAAAAGGACATTGGGCTTCTGCCTAGGGTAATAAGTTAGAAGATAAGTCACCTAAATCAATAGAATCATAATTACCTTGTTAAAGCTCACAGGGTCCAATTGAATTTCTTTTGGTTTTTATTTTTATTTTTTATTTCCATAGGTTTTGGGGGAAAAGGTGGTATTTGGTTACATGAGTAAGTTCTTTAGTGGTGATTTGTGAGATTTTGGTGCACCCATCATCCAAACAGTATACAATGAACCCAATGTGTAGCCTTTTATCCCTCACCTCCTCCACCGTTTCCCCCAAGTCCCCGAAGTCCTTTGTGTCATTCTTATGCCTTTGCATCCTGACAGCTTAGTTTCCACTTATGAGTGAGAACACACTATATTTGGTATTTTATTTCTGAATTACTTCACTTAGAATATTAGTCTCCAATCCCATCCAAGTTGCTGTGAATGCCATTACTTCATCCCTTTTTATGGCTGAGTAGTATTCCATCATATACATTTTGTATATATATTACATATAATATATATGTATATATCCATCAAACAACAAGTGGATAAAGAAACTGTGGTGTATTATATATTATATCACATTATAATGTATGATATATATATAATATACCACATTCTCTATCCCTCTGTTTGATGGTACATTTAATTGCCAAATAGGCAAATACTGTTTTGGTGCTGGATTTCATTTGTGTGTGTGTGTGTGGCGGAGTTTCACTCTTGTCGCCCAGGCTGGAGTGCAATGGTGCAATCTCAGCTCACTGCAACCTCTGTCTCCCAGGTTCAAGCAATACTGCTGCCTCAACCTCCCGAGTAGCTGGGATTACAGGTGCCCACCACCACGTTCAGCTAATTTTTTTGTATTTTTAGTAGAAACGGGGTTTCACTATGTTGGCCAAGCTGGTCTTGAACTCCTGTCCTCAGGCAATCCACCCGCTTCAGCCTCCCAAAGTACTGGGATAACAGGCGGGAGCCACCGTGCCCCGCCTAATTACATTTTTAATGGGCTTTTTTATTGAAATATTAATCACCCTTCAAAATAACTTCTCAATTCATCTGTTTTTTTATGAGTCTTTTTTTTTTTCTATTGGAAGTTGAAGTAATGCAAGCAATAAATAGTCCAAATAATTTAACTGAGAATTTTGTGGAAATAGTCTTTCTTCTGAAAAAACAAGAACACAATATCCTACTGCTTTGAGCAAGGAAATCTCAGGGAGAAGCTTCTGCAATTGGACAGAAATGGCTTTGGAGGCATCTGAGCCTGTGCTCTCCTGACATGCACCCTACACTGAGACATTCCCATGTGAATGCTTGCTTCTTCTATTCTGTCCTACAAAGAGTCTAGAAGGTTGGTCTTTGTCTTTAACAAGAGTGGTGTCTCCTTGGAAAGTGGTCATGGTTCAATTTGGAGTGGAAAAAGAAATCTAGAGAAGGCAGCTTCACAAAACATATTTTTATTATTTTTAAGTAATATAGGCTATAAACCTAAAAGTAGCCCATTCTTTATGAAAGGGCTATAAAATATTACATGATACAGCTCTTATAATAGTAAAGAGTGGCATTGTTAACACAAAATGAATCAGAAGGATGATTTAATACCAGATCTTGATTGTTCTAAATCAAGTATAAACAGTAAGCATAGTTTACTATTGAAAGCCAGCAGAGTGGGACAGTTACTGGGAGTTTGCAGTCACACTTCCTGGGTGAAAAACCCAGTGCCTCTAGTTCCTACCTGTGTGGCCTGGGGCAAGTTATTAATTTCTGTGTGCCTCAGTTTTCTTATCCATAAAATTTGATTAATAGCCATTCTCTCTTGATGAGAAAGTTAATTCAGTAAAAGTTTTTAAAATATATCTGTCATGTACTACATGCTTAACAAATTGAGGCTACTAGTATTATTTGGTGAATGATCCAGGTCTAGTCTAGAACGAAACTCAACATCAAAGCATGAGCTCCTTTAGGGTCAAGGATTTTTATCTGATCTAGTTATAGACTCAGCAGCACCTAGATTTGTGCCTCCTGAATTGGAGGCAGTCAATAATTATTGATGAAATAAAAATTCTTTTGGCCTATTTTCTTTTCATTATGCAAACACTCTGTAAACACCAGTACTCTGAAAAGAATAGCAACACTTTAATATAAACATTTTCTAATTCATCAGAATATGTTTCAGCTCCATTTATTTCTATCAATTAAAATATTTACTGCCGGATTTTAAACTTTTTAAAAAATATATCTAATCCTACCTGAGAAAGAAGCATGATTTCATGATTACAGAATGGGTATTGAGAACCTGTAGAGTTTATAATGCAATTACTGTGTGGAGACCAAATCCCTGCAGGTCAATTATTTCTAGCAAAAAGTCATTCAAATTATGAACAACCACAATATTTCGATTCTTCTGAAAATCCTAAGCTCACGGAGCACATGAGTTTTGCCAACTCCACACTGTCTTCAGGGAATCGCATCCCCCAAGAGTGATGTAGGAATGGGATTCATTATTTATTTTACTTTACTCCCAAATAATTTAATATGTTAGACTTTGGGAAATATTAAGTTCCTGCTTACAGCAAGTATAGTGGATGGTATCGGGAGAAGGTTTCAGAGTCTGGAACACCATTGGAAGATAAACTAACTTTTGTTGAACTTGAACTAGTGATATATCAATTTTGAGTTTTGTACATTTATCTTTTTAATAGGGATAGTAATGTGTAAGTGTGGAACATTTTGGATTTATAGATAATATAGGTGTGCTGGTGATTCTCCTTTTCCACCCTACTCCCATTCACATCTATTGTCTTCTCTTCTGTGCCTTGCATTGTTCACCTGGAGTTGGGCTCCTATGGACCTGGTCAACAGGGCACCTATGGTGTCTGGTTTCCAGCTGACCTTGGCTTTTGAGAAGACTCTCTAGGATGTCAGAAGTGGGAAAGATAGGGAATTACCTCAATTTCTTTCTCATTCCCTTCCTGCTTCATTATAAGTGTGCTAAATTGGCTGCATCCCTCCCTGGAGAATGTCTTGGGATGTGTGTCTTGGGAAGATGTTGGCAAGGGATT
This sequence comes from Homo sapiens, assembly GCF_000001405.40. NCBI lineage: Eukaryota > Metazoa > Chordata > Mammalia > Primates > Hominidae > Homo > Homo sapiens. The sequence goes on from NC_000011.10 coordinate 56,602,709, forward strand.
TCTTCCTGGCTTCAGCTCTCACTGAGCTCTGTGACAGAAGCCACTGTCCTTGGTCCTTCAGACCTAAAGATGGAAATGGTTTTCTACAGTTAGCCTTGACTTTTTTAACCCCTTTGGCTGATTCCTTTAACTTTACCTTTTTATTCTCTGTCTTTTCATTAAATTCTCTTTAGCTAAAACATATGAGTAGAATTGTGGACATCTCAGATCCTGGCCAGAGCATCATATAGTAGTTATTCCGTAAGTCTTGCAGTGAGTTAGTAGCAGTAATAATAACTATTATGATAAATATTATTTTAGCTAAAAATTTGGAATACTTCTACATTCATCATGTTAGAACTTAAAGGAGCCATTGAATTGCCCTCCTTTTGGATCCTGACTCAATTAGAGTCTACACATGGGAGTCAGATATGAAAATTACTAGCATTATTGCTGGTGAATTTGGATTTGAGAATGTGGTTTAGAGATGCTTCTCTGTTCCTTTCCTCTGAGGTGAAGTCACTCAGATACAGTACAGCAATGGGATAACTCTCCTCTCCCCTTCCCTTTCCACAGCCATGAACAGCTTCAGCATCCTTATCAATCACATAGACTAGAAAAGGATGTTTTGGACTAACATCAAGGCCATCACAATAACTCTTTTTATAATCTCTCCAATCCATTCACCCTCCTGAGATAGGATGATGGAAGGTGTAGGAAGAACACCTCAAAGTGTCCTTCAAAATCTTTTCTTCAGTCATTCAATCCTCTGCCTCCTTTGTAGCATGCTTGGTACTCCCTTGGAACAATGTATGTGTTTCAGAAATCTCAGTCCTTTTTAATTTCCTCCTCCCATTTTGGACCCTTTCCATGGCCAAATATTTTCTCTATGACTTTTAAAATATCTCAAAAATCAATTTTTTTCTACAATGAAAATAAGAATAAAGAAATTGATACAATTGCTAGAAACTTTAAAGAAGGTTGTAATGATGCTTTGAAAATATTGGGAGATCTTTTATCTTAAAATCTTACAGAGTTTTATTAATTTATTCTCAATAAAAATTACAACTTTGAAGAAATGCTGTCAATAGAAATTGCATGACACCAGGAAAGTAAGTCATGACCATGACTACTTCTTATCTCATCAACCACTATTAACCTACTATCCAACTCCATTCTTTTTACCTAGGCACTGAGTGTTCCTCTTGTGCCTTCTTCATATGAAATATGAATATATATATATGCATTACAACATATATATATCTTTTTCATATATATTTTTATATCTGTAAAATTGTAAAACTGTCTGAAACATAATTACCCATAAAAATAATTACCCAGTTAAACATCTTAACAAACCCATGTGGCTTGGGGTGTTTCTAGAGTCAACCCAGAAGTAGCTACGAGAATAATATTTTAATTGAAACCTAGCTCTTGCTGTGTTCCTGGAAAACATTATTTCATTCTTCCGAGCTTCAGCGTTTTCATCTGTACCAAATAAGGAGTAATATATATATCACAAAGATACTGCACATGTTAAATAAACTTTGTTTTTCATTGGCAGTAAATGTGGCTATCCATTTGTAAATCCTTTGCACACCTATGGCTGTTATTTAATAAACATTCAGAAGTGATAGTAGTTTTCAGAGTAAGAGTTGCAACGTATGTGCTGTGCTATCAGATAAGGTAAAGAAAATGTTAAAAAAAATTTGCAGGTTTTACAATTCTGTGTAAAATTCTATGTAATTGCTTTGTTCTTTCACAGGAGCCCCATCCAGCTGAGCAGAGATGTGGTAAAACAAGTTTTCAAAATATGTTTTCTATAGTGAGTGTGCTATAAATCTAACTAATTCTGCTTCTCCAACTTGAATTTAGGAAAGCCCGGAGATAATTTAAAACACCAAAAACATGTGTATGGAATACATAATGTTGAAGATTATTTTCACACATAAGTGTAAAGTAATTCATATTCAGTCAATTTTTGCACATTTGGTTTGGTCGTTCACTTTCAAAGTTCTATAATGAACACAATTTATCTCCTTAAGTGAAGAAACATAATTTCTTCACCAAATGTTACAAAATGTTACAAAAAGTGTTACAAAATTTAAAAATGACATTACAGTACAGCTTTCACCTATTTCAGTAAACCAACTACCCAGAAACACATTTTTAAGAATGACAAAGTAAAGAGTATATGCAGATTTTTAACTGTAGCAGCATTTTTGTCCACCTTGACAAGTGCTTTTGTTTTTGCTTTGCCTGTTTGTGTAAACTGGTAGGTAAATAATTTGCACATTTCTCCGTTTTTAGAAAAAAATTATGGTGACCAAATACCTTTAATTATTGCATTACCTAGTTCTGTATGTCAAGACATAATTACATATTACATGGAGTGGTTAAATATGGCTTCCTTTTAAAGAGTAGCTTTGGACTTAGAATAGCCAAATATTTAAATAACCTATTTTGGTTGGTCTTCTTCTTTAGGAAATACATTCAGACTTTAATCCCTTTTCTCCTTCCAAGATCTGGTGCTAGTTGGTGTAAGCCAAAAGTCTACAAGGAGGTGTGCTACACCCTAAAAGAGCTGCTTGAGTTTTCTAGTTTATATAAGCAGAATTCTGGAGAACAGGTGTAGGAATGGATATTAAGGGTGTGGGATAATGGTGGGAGGAATATAAAGTTGGATCAGGCTGAATGTATTGATATGGGCCCACTAAGCAGAGATTCTGCACTCAATGTTACAAATCAGGGAGTTAAAAAATGTTCTAATAGTTTATTAGCTGAAATATGGATCAAAGGATGGCCTACTGTGAGCGACCTTGAAATGCCAGATCTTCCCTGGTTTAATGTAGAGGGAGGAATCCAAAAGCTTTGGGTGATTAGAATTCTAGAGTGGATTAGTCAAATTAGACACTTCCTCTGGATATAGGTTTACCTATCTCTCATGCAATGCTTCTGCCAAGATTACCATTCGTGGACTCCCAGAATGCCTTATCCACTGTCATGGTATTCCACAGACCATTGCCTCTGACCAAGGCACTCATTTTACAGCTAAAGAATAAGACAGTGGGCTCATGCTCATGGGATATACTTGTCTTACCATGTTTCCCATTATCCTAAAGCAGATGGATTGATAGAAAGGTGGAAAAGCCTTTTGAAGTAACAGTTACAACAACTAGGTGATACTTTATTACAGGGGCTGGGCACGGTGGCTCATGCCTGTAATCCCAGCACTTTGGGAGGCTGAAGCGGGTGGATCACTTGAGGTCAGGAGTTCGAGACCAGCCTAGCCAACATGGTGAACCCTCATCCATACTAAAAATACAAAAGTTAGCCAGCCGTGGTGGCACATGCCTGTAATCCCAGCTATTCGGGAGGCTGAGACAAGAGAATCGCATGAACCTGGGAGGCAGAGGTTGCAGTGACCCAAGATCGTGCCACTGCACTATAGGCCTCTGGAAGACACAGCAGGACTTCATTTTACAAAAAAAAAAAAAAAAAATGCAGGCCTGGGGCAAATTTCTCCAGAAGTCTTTGTATGCTCTGAGTAGGCATCCAATATGTGGTACTGTTTCTTCCATAGCCAGGATCCAAGAATGCAGGAATCAAGGGGTGGAAGTGGAAGTGGTGCCACTTACCATCACCTCTACTGACCCACTAGCAAAATTTTCCTTCCTGTTTCTGTGACATTATGTTCTGTGGGCCTAGAGGTCTTCGTTCCGGAGGGAGGAACTTTGCCACCAGAAGACAGAAAGATGATTCCATCAAACTGGAAGATAAGTTTGCCACCTGGCCACTTTGAGCTCTTCCTGCCTCTAAGTCAACAGGCTAAGAAGGGAGGTACAGTGTTGGCTGGGGTGACTGACCCAGACTATCAAGATGAAATCAAACTACTACTCCACAATGGAGGTTAAGGAAGAGTATTTGTGGAATACAGGAGATCCCATAGGACGTCACAGTATTACCATGTCCTGTGATTAAGGTCAGTGAGAAACTACAACAACCCAATCCAGGCAAAACTACAAATGGCCCAGACCCATCAGGAATGAAGATTTGTGTCACTCCACCAGGTAAAAAACCGTGTCCTGCTAAGGTGCTTGCTGAAGGTAAAGGGAATACAGAATGGGTTGTAGAAGGAGGTAGTTATGAACTGACCATAAGGGGTCAAGCCCTGCCAATTCCTCCATTATTCCCCACAAGATTAGACAGAACTAGGCCCCTTGGGAAGTGCCCTGGAACACAGGGAAGTTGGATGTCTGCCATGGGCTCTCTTTTCTCCACTAGAGAACACAGGCCCAAGAAATCCCTTTCAGTGTGACACTGTTTGGTCGGGAAAGAAGCAACACAGTCAAAGTGAAACTGCTCCCCTTACACTTCTAATATGACTTTTCCCAGTTTCTGTGCTCCAAGAGTGTGCCCCACCTCACCCTTGGGTTATGGAATTTTTACCTAGGCATTCTTATCTGTGAGAAGTTGCTAACTGGTCATTCTGTTCTGGAAACCAGAACTGAGCACCTCCTCTTCTGCCATCACGCTCTACAACAAGTTTTTAACTCCTTGCTTTTTCCTACTTTTATTTTTAAATTCTACTATTATAAATAAGCATCCTGTAATTATATATCCTGAGATCTGAATTAAACTGGGCATACAAAGTTTTTGTTAGCTTATTTTCTCAATGTAATAGCAACAATTGCTTATCATGGAAAATTTGGACATAGCTATTAATAAGTTTTGTTTCTCTTTATCCCTGATATTTTACAAGATATCCATATGTAGCATTGGATATGTCTTTGCACATAATATATTACACAAAATGATTTACCTTTTTCTTAACTAGGAACATCCTCACTTTAATAGCTGTATAACATTCTAAGAAAAAAAAATTAAACTGTACTTTACACTTTCCTTCATGATCAAGGCTGATGACATTCTAGTTATTTAGAAACACCTTCTACCCCATCTGGTAGATGCCTGTGCTTTACCAGTTATCCAAAGCAGGCAGTCCTCACTTTGAGATTTTGTAATATCTAAGTAAGAACCATGCAAAACAAGACACGTTTGCCATATAGAAAGGTTTCTGTTACATGGTACGGTGCTAAGTGGGAGCTACTTGTATTTCGAACATCATTTGTTTGCTTTTTCTTGATTATAAAATGAACACCATGAAACTCTTCACACAAGTTTCTAATTATGCCTTCAGTAGATTCTTAAATTTGGAATAGCTGAATAAAATTATAGAAACATTTGACTCCTTAAAATATTAATAATATTGTATTTATTTCTAGAAAAATTTTATACCATTAATCAACCAATGTATGAACGTGCTAGACTTTTTCAGCTGTCTTAAATATAGACACATAAACAGTATTGTACTTCATGTTTTTAGCTGCCACTATTTTCTGCGTTAATTTTAGCATTTTGTATTTTAATCAATTTTCTACGTATAGTATTCAACATTTATTTATATGGTCATGTTTTAGTGCTTCAAATGATTTATATTAACATAACATATTTCAGTAATTGTGCCACTTTGTCTTATTTGTGACAAATACATTGCCAGACTGTAGGGTGGGTCTTATTTTTAAATAGTTTTATTGTCAAATTAAAGCAACAGTATTACTGTGAAGTATTCCCATTCTTAGGAAGCACAGAGTAATTTTTCTCTGATTATTTAAATGTTTAATATTTATTTTAATTCTAATTAATAGGGTTTTTTCAGTGTTTGAAATGATTCCTAGCAGAAGAATATATGTGGGCATGTCAACTCTTTTGGGTGGAGTTGTTGGCAAAAAGTCAGCATAGTTAGAGAAAAGAATCTGTATTTAGAGATATTTGTTGAAAAAAAGTGTTTTATTATGAACGCCGGTATGGTATAAAAATAAATGTTTGTATAAAGTTGTTAATGAATCGATAGAATTAATATACCAAGGTTAAGTGTTTTCTCCTTACTCACAGGCCACCAACGTTTTCCTGCCTTTCTGGAAAACAAACTTAACAATAAGCAGTTTTCCTATGGCCCCCATAGAGAGGAAAATAGTTTTCATTGTTTTTCAAATAATTTACAGTGTTTAAGTATTTCATGTATAGCCACATTGAAATATATATTTGCATATATAAAGTATGCATATAGTTTCTAAATTGAACAATAGTATGCATAATTTATGGGTTAAAAATACTGGATATCTAAAAGCAATCATCAGATGATTTGCAGTCTCCTAAGAGAAAAGTGAAGATAACATTTTTCCATCAGAAATTAAAACATATTTTAAGTGTACACTAATCATACGAATTTAGTTTAAAATATATGTATATTGTGGCCAAACATAAAGAGGAAATAGGCAGAAATAGATTCACTTATGGTATAATAAAGGTGACATCACAAATCAGTTGAAAAACAAAGCATTGCTTAATAAATAGTGGGAGGAAATTGGTTAAAAATAAGAGGGAAAAGATAATTTTTAATATTACAACACAGTACAAAAATGTATTATATCTAAAATAATTCCTGATATCACTATCAAATATTGCAATGAATATAAGTGCTTGTTTTTTCAATTTTAGGATGAGGAAAACTTACATAACAGCAATAAGCAAAAGGTCACATTTTTCCAAATAGAAATACAAACATTATTCATGCAAGAAATTATCAGCAATAGCATGAAGAGAAATTATCAACCTTATGTGTAGCCTTCATTTGTTCAATATATGCTTCAATTTTTATTCTGTGCTTATTAGAACAGAATTATTTTCTAAGACTTCCCTTGAGACATCAAAGAAGCAAATAACCATAAACAAGAGCTCCTACTACTGATAGAGTTATAGTGAAATGATTATTCTCAAATATTACTAGTACAGGTTTAAGTTGCTAGAAGCTTTCTGGAGAAAAATTTACCCATAGAAAAATTTAGCAGGAGTTTCAAAAGCATTGAAAACATTTAATTCAGCAGTTCCACTTCTGGGAACATACACAAAAGGAACAATTAGAGATGCACAGATACATCAGTCATAAAAACACTAAGATACATTGATATGATGGAATCATGGTTTGCAAGATAATCAAATGGAATAAAACACAAGTGAATGCTGAGTTCAGCTCTCTTCAGGTAGGTGATTATAAGTAAATGTTGCTTCTATGTCTTATGTATGTCAATATGGTTCAGTCAGTTTTCTACAATTGATATGTATTATTATTGTATTAAGGTCATATGATCTAACTATTATATGACATTCAACATGATGTTCATCAGAAATATTTAATCTATATAAAGGTGCATACATTATATCAAGTGAAAATCAGTGTTCAAATTTGTATATGATAAGTGATTTCACATTTGCTTGATGCATTTTAGTAACATGTACGCATATAAACTTATTGAGAAGAAATGTAACAAAATATAAAGAAAATGTATCCTTTGTCACAGGACAGATCCCTCATAAATTTTACTCCCTCATATTTGTCTGTACCTGGTAATTAATTAATATGAATATGTATGCCTTTGCGACTGGGAAAATATATTAATAAAATGCAGCCTAAATAGCATATATGTCTTCTGTATATCAAAATTTTCTCCCTTCACATGGACGTTAAGACAATTTTAATTATAATGCCTATAAATTATGTTAACCGGAATTTTCAAGGGAAATTCTCATTAGCTATTCTTAGGATACATATAACTATCACATAATAACCACTATTTCATCTATAGCAATAATCTCATCAATTCATAATCTCCAACATTCCACCAAGCATTTGCAGTGTTTTGAGAATTTCTTTAATAACAACTACAGTATGAATTAGAAAGAGAGAGAATTTGAAACCAAGAAACCTGCTTTTGTCCTACTGAGTGGCCAAATGACTTTGGGCAAGAAATTTAATCTCTCCGTGCCTCAGGCTCCAATGTTGTAAATGGAGATAATAATTCTCTCATTATTTCATTTATGAAGATTAAAATAAAGTGTTCCTAAAATCAGCACTACACTGTGACTGCAACTCTTATAATTACTTTTATTCATGTCGATTTATGTTCTATCCTATCTCCAAAGAATTTCTGAGGTGACTTTTACCCAAAGACATGCAGAAGGAAAAAATTAAATCACAAATAGAAATAAATAAAATATTTTATTAAAAATCAATTAGAAACAGGTCAGTCATTTTGACTAAAAGGATGTCAAAGTTTAAAAATGGTTGCTGCAAGCCAGAGCAATTCTCATAACTAGAAAATAAATGGAATCGTACAGTTATTTAGGCCAAATATAGAGTATTTTTTGCACTCATTCTAAAATCCAATTTTCAAATAGGGTTTCAAATCTGGATATGAGACCATTCTGCTTGCCAGAAATGGAATACAATGCTTTGCCTAATAGATGGAAATTTCTCATAAAATAAAGAAATACCCCACCGATGAAATGATGCTGGCCCTCAAAAAGGAAGTGAGGACTCTGTGTCACTCAATTCCCAGCTTTTCTGCTTCATTGTTGTCTCTGCAGATGACCTTCCTCTGTTGTCCCACCATCATTGCCAAAACCAAGCAAATACAAAAACAAACAGTGCTAAAATGTAATTGTTAAATTCTTGTCACCGAAATTTGCCTTCCTTCTTTTTCAGATACTGTTTCTGAAAGAGGATTTGGCTAGAAACAGACTTAATCAAATGAGACTCAAGAATATGCCCCCATTTTACAAAAACTGCAAGTCATCTGCTTAATATTCTGGAAAACCATTTGAACACTTTATAGTAGATATAGTAGTTGATATCATACAGACATTTTCTGTAGCATATTCTGTATGGTGTTAGTTAATATCAGAGTGCAAAATATTAAAATGCCAAACATATGAGGCAATTTATTAGGGCTAAATACATATGTATCAATATGCAGTCATCTGGTTGACTAATAATGCATGGATTAATGTGTCTCCTTAGGTAGCCTCTCTGAGATTGATTTTCTCTATAGCAGCTTCAAGAACTACTAGAACACCCTTATTTTAAAAATAATGGGCCACAGAAAGCTTCATGAAGCAAAATAAACACTGAGTATTTCCTCCAGAAACATATATACACCCCTATTTATTTGTATACTGTTTCAAGACATTTGTGGGTATGCACAGGGCAGTTAATAGACCCTATTGACTCCTACTGAATTAGTCCTAAGTCAGAGGTACGGCACTGGAAAACATAACTGGAATGCAGTTAAAGTAGTTTGATGATAGAATTGGATCCATACACTTGGAAACTCATAAAAAGGTGTTGAGAGTTGATTTTCAGAATCAAGGACGATAACCAGTATTATCATATGAACAAAAAAGAAGCTTCTCAAGATATTTACAAGATGGGTTTGGGGAACACTTACAGCAAATTTAACGTATCAGTGACCCATATATTTATATTTTTTGCACATTGATTACAATAAGCACAAAGGTAGCTGAGCTATTGTTCAAGACACCATATTGAAGTAGAAATAATTTCATTTTTTAAAAAGTGTAAAATTATCCACCCTATCTTGAACCTCATTATGGCTCTGTGGACCATCATATTCAAAGGAGATGAATTTTCAGAATTTCTCTCAGCCTAAGTTAGTTAAAAATTTACCCACCCCCCAAGTAAGTAAACATAGTATTTTCATATAGAATTATTAGATACTAAAAAATTTATTTTCATAGAATTTCTGACAAATAAAACATTTTAAATTTCTCAACATTAAGGCTTTTATTTCTAAGAAATCAATCTTCAAGGTTTTCATTTGGATAAGAAAGTAAAGTGGTTACTGACAGTCCATGATGTTAAATAAATCACGACTACACTAGGTTTTTCCATTTCAAAAGCCAGTTTGTTACTCCACAAGCAATTCGTGACTGCAAATAAACACAAGCCTAAACTGCAATTTTATGAAAGGATTTTCCCCTAATCATTTGTTGCATGGCAAGGATTACATCTGTGTTCCGTAGGCTATAGATCAATGGGTTCAGCATTGGGCTCAAAAAAGTATAAAAGACTGCAGTTATTTTGGACTCCTCTACAGACTTCTCTGATGGAGGCCTTACGTACATGCAGAAGAGGGTTCCATAAAACAAAGTGACTATTGTCAGGTGGGAAGCACACGTAGAAAAGGCTTTGTGCCTGCCTTCAGCAGAACGGATCCTGAAGATCGCTGCAAAAATGAAAAGATAGGACAGAAGAATGATGAAGAGAGAGCTTGAGAGATTAAAGCCTGCAACTACAAACATTGCCATCTTTTTGACACGGGTGTCAGAGCAGGCCAGCATGATAAGAGGAGGATCAGCGCAGTAGAAATGATTGATTTCAAGGGAGCCACAGAAGGATAAGTGAAAGGTTAGCAGTGACTGAGAGAACCCACTAAGAAACCCATACATGTAAGGGATAGTGACCAGACAGACACAGATGTTCTTGGACATCCTGGAACTGTAATGCAAAGGGCTGCAAATGGCTACATAGCGATCCAATGCCATTGAAGCAAGGATGTAAAACTCAGTGATCACCAGGGCGATGAAGAGAAGACACTGTGTGAAGCATCCAGCGTAGGAGATGGTCTTCTGTTCTGAGAGGAAATTGTGCAGCATATTTGGAGTAACATTGGAAGAATAGCAAATGTCTACAAAGGAGAGGTGGCCAAGGAAGAAATACATGGGTGTTTGCAGGTGGGAATTGGTCCTGATCAGCAGGATCATGCACAGGTTGCCTGCCAGTGTGATTAGGTAGATCGCAAGGAATACCCCAAACAGGATCTTCTCTAGCACTGGGTCGTCTGTCAGTCCCAAGAGAATGAATTCTGTCACTATGGTGTGGTTTGGGGAGAACATCTTCTTATCTCTTGAAACTGAAAGTGACAAAGAATGTGAGGATTTCTCTCTGATTCAGATTTGGCATTTGTTTCATCCATTTATCATTCGCTCATTCATCTATTTATCTAGGTGACAATTACTTCTCTTGTTTCAATAATCACATCGGAAATTTTACATAACATTGTCTCCCTATATGTCTGTTTTAATCTGTATCTTTCTATACATCAAACCCACATAACTTACACAAACATACATATTCTCTATTTCTCTCTGCCATACATGTATACATACATAAGTTTATTCATTCCTACATTTATACCTGTCTTCTTGGTGTACTCCACATTTGGTAATTTTATTCAAACTTCGTGAGGAAACAAAAAATCCAAAGGAATGAAAATTAAATACAAAAACCCTAGGTTATTTGCATCTTTCAAATGGATAAATAAAGGAAGTCTGATCTTTATTATACCTCCAGCTCTGATATTGTATTGTTTCAGATACAAAATGAAGAAAGAAAAGCAAAGCATTTTCAATTAAGACCCATAGCTGTGTGCCTTACCTTTATTCAGGAACGATTAAACTAGAGAAATTAATTTCTATCTGATATATGGCTAAGAGGGTACAAAATGAAGACTTGTTTTTTTCCACTTTGTAATGTCACTGCCTGTTTACTCATGTATACTGTATAGCTTCATTTCTTTCTGTTCCAATTCCTGCGGTTACTACAGTAAACAAGTCTCCCAGCTCAGGGAGCACACATTATAATAGAGGGAGCAGAGCACACATTATAATAGAGGGAACAGAGATTAAACACACAGAAAAAGTTACATACAATTTCAGGCAAACCATTTTTCTGTGAAGAAAACATGAATGTAGGATGCTTTTAGATGACCACTCAAAGAAGATCTTTCTAGGAATGCAGCATTTAAACAGCAGATATGCAATTCTACTATTTGGGGAAAGTGTGGATTTTTTTTGTTCCCATTTTTGTGCCACTAACCCACTCATGACAATATTGTTTAGGTATGCACAGATAATTTTTAAAAGGGGTCTTAGCTTCCAACTCAAGCCACTCTCTCTCAGTTCTCTTTGAAAGTAACATAAGATTGTAAAAATTTCTACTCCAAAAATTCCACCTTAAAGCCATTGTTTATTTAGTTCTCATGTATACATCAAAAGAGCTTACATATAATTGATTGTAGAGAGTCAATGCAATACTAACATATGGATAGAAAAGTCTAGTGAAATTGGAGAAAATATTTGTTTTCCCCATTGATGGAATACTTATCTCTACACACACACACACACACACACACACACACACACACACACAAATTGTATTTTTAGTGAACAAATGTAGAAAATGACCTACCTGTTAATGTTAATGGACCATATCTTATGAAAACAAGGTAGCAAGATTTACAATATATTTATTAGGTATCTTCCCTAGAGTATTTTTAAACTAATTCTAAAGAGCCAATTAAAATATGCTTTGTTCCTCAAGAGCATAACCTTCATTTGATGCTTCCTGGAGCTAGACTCTCCTGCGAGGATAAAATTCCTATTTTACATTTATGTAGAGTTTCGGTACAAGTGTGCATGAGATCCTTAGTACAAACAGAGAAATTAGCCATCCCTTTCAATAACATGGAAGAGGAAAACATGGGTAGATAACTTCTGCCTTTTTAGTATGATGAAAACAAGGAATTCTCATCAGAACTCTTCAGCTTTTGCCTATAAACACTGCAGTGAGGTCATCTAATGAGTGAGGGGTAGGAAGTTGTGGCAGGTGAGACATTTGAGAAGATGAAAGATTTCAAAGACTGTGAGAGCAGAAGAGTGGCATAATCAGTAGAAGGAGGCAGAAGTATTGGTCAGGGCCCAGGATCCTTTGGAGGACGGGCGTTATGGATTTATTTTGGAACTAGTCTGCACTATCAAGGTTAATATTAACATGCTAATCATCAAAGGTCTCAGAACCAGGGCTATTTATAAAATTGATGATGCATAAAATTGTTGATTTAGAAAGGGAATTGCAAATAGAATGAGAATATTTGAAAATTGTGTAGCACTGTATTTGTTGGAGGACAAAGGGACCTAGAGATGCGTTCATTAGTCTGTATCTTCCAGTGCACATATAGTTCCAGGTTAGCACAAATGGATCAAAGTACAGTCTGACCAAGACGGAGAATCATCCCTAATTTTATTAGAGTTGCGGGTGGTGGGTTATACTCCGAGAAATCATTTAATAAAATATAGCTATATATCAAAATCAAAATGTAGATTTGTTACATCCCATGAAATTTGAGAATATAGGGCATTCCTATATGTTTATTTCAAATTGATGTGTAAAGTCTTCTCTATCTCAATTATTCTGTTTTATTTTGGTTCCTTGCATTACTAAAATTGTAAAATGCAATAATATTGCTTAAATATTTTGGAAGCCGGGCACGGTGGCTCTTGCCTATAATCCCAGCACTTTGGGAGGCCAAGGCCGCTAGATCACCTGAGGTCAAGAGTTTGAGGCCAGCCTGGCCAACATGGCGAAACCCTGTCTCTACTAAAAATACAAAACTTAGCCAGGTTTGGTGGTGCGTGCCTGTAATCCCAGCTACTCAGGAGGCTGAGGCAGGGAGAATTGCTTGAACCCAGGAGGCAGAGGTTGCAATGAGCCAAAATTACACCACTGCACCTCAGCCTGGGTGACAGAGCGAGACTTCATCTCAAAAAAAAAAATTAAGATGGAATATAAGGTATCATAAGATTATAAAACTGGTGTCCCTCATTTCCTCCTCCCTTAATGTAGAGGTACCTTGTTTTGCATAAAAATGTTGAAGATTTGGATAATTTTTAAGTAGACTGCTTTCACTTTGAAGAAAAAATTCCCTAATGTATGTGTGTATGTATGTATGTATTTTCTTTTATATGTTGGTATACAATGGCTACATAATAAAACATAAGATTTACAAAGTGAATTTTCTGACAAAAATAAAACTAGCCCTATAATAACTGAATGGTTAGATGAAAAGTATAGATGAATGGGCTATTTTCATTTAGAAAGAGCAAAGTATATGTAATTTTAAGTATGGAATCACATGATCAGATGTCCACACGAAAGAAGGCAATGTTAATTTATTTATACAGCAATGAATAGAAAATACAGAATTTAGCTATGTGTATGATACTTACTCAAAGAAGAGTTTTACACATACTTATGTTATTTTTCATAGAAAACCTCCAGAAGGCTCTGTTTATATTACTCAAAGACATTAATTCCTTAGTTCATTTCATTTTTCTTCCACTGCAATAACTAGCATGTGTGTCTGCTAGAGGGACAGCGAATGGATTTAGCTACACAAATGATACACTGGTAAGCTAGTTGAATACATACTACTGGCCCTTTAGATTTTTACTTGTTTGTGATTATTCAATTTACTATTTTTATTCAAAAGTTATAGCATGCTATTATTATCAAAATCCAGCCTAAGAAGTGTTCTATAATAGTGTCATGCTCACTAGACACTACATCACTGATGTTGTATTATTATTTGTATGAGTAGTACTATAACCATAATAAATTCTACCCATTTACTATTATTTTGAAGCCAAATGCTCTTAATTATGTTTAATGTTTAACTGATACTATGTAAAATGCATCAAACTGTCTACAATCAGGTAGGCAATATAATCTTGAAAAAGAATGCATGAAATCCATAGTTCATTAAGCAGGATGCAGCACATTAAGAGAAAACAGTCTCCTTGGGACAGATTTCTTTTTTTAACTTTTATTTTAGGTTCAGGGGTCCATGTGCAGCTTTGTTATAAAGGTAAATTCCATGTCACAGGGTTTTGGTGTACAGGTTATTTCATCACCCAGTTGATAAGCACAGTGCCTGATAGGCAGAGTTTCAATCCTTACCCTCCTCCCACACTTCACCCTCAAGTAGGTCCTGGTGCCTGTTGTTCCCTTTTTTGTGTCCATGTGTATTCAATGTTTAGCTTCCACATGTAAGTGAGAACTTGCAGCATTTGGTTTCCTGTTCCTGCATTGGTTTGCTTTGGATATTGTCCTCCAGCTTCATCCGTGTTGCTACAAAAGACATAATCTCATTCTTTTTTTTTACGGCTGCATAGCATTCCATGATGTATATATACCACATTTTTTTGTATCCAATCTACTGTTGAAGGGCATTTAGGTTGATTCCATGTCTTTGCTATTGTGAATACTGTTGTGATGAACATACACATGCATGTGTCTTTATGGTGGAATGATTTATATTCCTTGGTGTATATACCCAGTAATGGGATTGCTGGGTCAAAAGGTAGTTCTGTTTTAAGTATGTGCCATTATCCCAAAATTCACACCATCCTACTGAAGAGCTATCTATCCCTGAATCACAAATGTGTCTAAATGCTGCTGCAGTGATTCATCTGCCTAAGCATGTGTTGCTGTGAAGGATAAAAAACGAACACATCAAATCGTTCTAGAGAAATGGAGGCCCACACGAAGCTTCATGAAAACCTTAAGACTACAAATACCCAAATTACGGTGTAGTCCCACATGTGACACTTCCCATGTTCCCCCAATGAGAAGATAAAAATCAATATATTAAGACATACTTGAAAGTATCTGCTTCAATGGCAATGAAAGAGTGGAGAAGTGAGGTCACATATTGATGTGAATGCCTCCTGGTAATGCAAACAATGATATTTATAAAGCCTACTAACGGAAATTTGGCATTGCTTCAAAAGCTTCAAGAAAGAAGATTTCATTGGCTCAAAATATAATTCTAAGACTGTATCTCAAAGTAGTATTCTGAGATATACTTCAATTGAAGGGGTGGCCTGCCCCTCTGCACCTGTGGGTATATCTCGTCAGGTGGGATGAGAGACTGAGAAAAGAAATAAGACACAGAGACAAAGTATAGAGAAAGAACAGTGGCCCCAGGGGACCGGCGCTCAGCATATGGAAGACCTGCATCGGCACCGGTCTCTGAGATCCCTCAGTTTTTATTGATTACTATTTTCACTATCTCAGCAAGAGGAATGTGGTAGGAGAACAGGGTGATAATAGGGAGAAGGTCAGCAAGAAAACATGTGAGCAAAGGAATCTGTGTCACAAATAAGTTCAAGGGGAGGTACTATGCCTGGATGTGCACGTAAGCCAGATTTTTCCTTCTCTCCACCCAAACATCTCAGTGGAGTAAAGAATAACAAAGCAGCATTGCTGCCAACATGTCTCGCCTCCCGCCACAGGGCGGTTTTTCTCCTATCTCAGAATAGAAGAAAGGTGCAATCAGGTTTTATACCGAGACATTCAGTTCCCAGGGGCAGGCAGGAGACAGAGGCCTTCCTCTTATCTCAGCTATAAGAGGCCATCCTCTTTTACTAATCCTCCCGAGCACAGACCCTTCACGGGTGTCAGGCTGGGGGCCGGTCAGGTCTTTCCCATCCCACGAGGCCATATTTCAGACTATCACATGGGGAGAAACCTTGGCAATACCCGGCTTTCCAGGGCAGAGGTCCCTGTGACTTTCCACAGTGCATTGTGCCCCTGGTTTATGGAGACTGGAGAATGGCGATGACTTTTACCAAGCATACTGCCTGTATACATTCTGCTAACAAGGCACATCCTGCACAGCCCTAGATCCCTTAAACCTTGATTCCATACAACACATGTTTTTATAAGCTCAAGGTTGGGGCAAAGTTACAGATTAACAGCATCTCAGGACAAAACAATTGTTCAGGGTACAAGTCAAAATGAAGTTTCTTATGCCTTCCTTTTCTACATAGACACAGTAACAGTCTGATCTCTCTTTTCCCTACATCAGTGATCTTTATTGTTGCATTATCTGTATAAAAGAAAGGAGAAAACTTCATATACTATGTTTGAAAGGTGTCTAGAAAATAGTTTGGAAGTTATTAAGTACTATAAAAATGTAATGAACTGTAATTTCCATTGCATTCTGTCTTTTATCGTTTGCTACCAATATGAGTACTAAAGAAGGAATCACTGTTCTTTATTGACTTTTACATGCCATAAGTCTTCTATTTAAATTTCTATGATTTCTTCTTAAATTCACTGAGATGACACTGTCAACTCTAGCTAATAATTTGGTATACACTTTCAATTCCCATATGCAAGTTACAAAAGACAAAAAACACTCAATGACAGAAAGTGATTTGTTAATTTATAATGCTCGTTAATTGGTAAGATAAAAATAATGTATTACATAACCTGCAACTAAAATATCTACCTTACTTAGCAAACAGTTTCTTTTGGATAACTTCCCTTATTGTTCTTTTAACATTTTTATTCCTCAGACGGTAGATCAATGGGTTTAACGTAGGACTCACAAAGATATAAAAAGCAGCTACAATTTTCCCCTGTTCTACAGATGCCTCAGAAGGGGGCCTCAGGCACATGTGAAACAGCGTTCCTTGAAAGACAGTGACGGCAGTCACAAGGGACCCGCAGGTGGAGAAGGCATTGTACCTTCCCTCAGCAGTGCAGATATGCAGAATGTCTGTGAAGATGAAAGTGTAGGAAATAAAGATGATAGTGAGAGGGCAGATGAGGTTGGAACCAGCCACCATGAACATGGCAGTTTCTTTGACATAAGTATCCAAGCAGGCGAGGACTAAGAGGGGTGGTTCTGCATAATAAAAGTGGTTGATCTCCAATTTTACATCAGAGTCAGCCCTGGGAGATGCTTCATACTGAGAAAATAATCATGACCTTATATGCCATAATAAGAATATGGAAACTTGGATCAACAGGTTCCTTTCTCCCATTGTATATACTTTCTGGGTGGTATTCTCTCCGTTAATATGTATTTCTCCCTTCCTCTCCAACCGTCCATTCAAAAATTTATAGTGGAATTAAATGTGCATATAATGCATTTTCTCCAAAAAAAAAAAAGTGGTTGATCTCATTGGGTTCACAGAAGAACAGACAAAGCATCAGGATGACCTGTACCAGACCATTTGCAGAGCCATAAATATAGGGAGCAGCAGTGAGACAGAGGCAGACACACCTGGACATTTTGCTTCCATATAACAAAGGCTTGCAGATGGCCATGTAGTGGTCATACACCATCACTGTGAGCATATGATAATCTGTGATCACCAGTGCAATGAAAAGGTGAAATTGGATAAAGCAACCAATAAAGGAAACGGTTTTTCTCTTGGAAAAAAAAAGTTAACCAGCATCGGAGGAGTGGCATTGGTGGCATAATAGAGATCTACAAAGGAGAGATGACTGAGGAACAAGCACATTGGAGTGTGTAGTGTTGAATCACTTCTTATTAAGAAGCTCATGCTCACACACATGGACACAGGAAGGGAAACATCACACACCAGGACCTGTCAGGGGGTCGGGGGCTGGGGGAGGGATAGTATTAGCAGAAATACCTAATGTAGATGACAGGTTAATGGGCGCAGCAAACCACCATGGCACATGTATACCTATGTAACAAACCTGCGTGTTCTGCAGATGTATCCCAGAACTTAGAGTATAAATAAATAAATAAATAAAAATGAAAAGGTGCTCAACACACTAATCATCAGGAAAATGCATATGAAACAAAAGCATGATATCACATTTGTTATGATGGCTGTTACTTTATTTTAAAAAAATCCAAAAGACAACAAATATTGGTGACATATGAAGAAATTGGAACCCTTGTACAACATTGGTGGGAATATAAAATTGTGCAGCCACTATAAAAAACAGTATGATGAGTCTTCAAATAATTAAAAATCGAATTATCATATAAACCAGCAATTGCACTTCTGGGCATATATCCAAAAGAATTTAAATCAAGCTCTTGAAGAGACATAGGTACTCTTATGTTCATTGCACCATTATTTACAATAGTCCAGATATAGAAACAACCTAAATGTCCATTGAAAGATGAAGAAAATGTAGTACACACATGTAATGGAATATTATTCATCATTAAGAAAAAGAAGAAATCCTGTCATATGATGAACCTGGAGGACATTATGTTAAGTGAAATAAGCCAGGCACGGAAGGACAAATACTGCATGATTAAATTTATATGAGGAATCCAAAATAGTCAAACTCATAGAAACAGAGAATAGAAGGTGGTTGCAGCGGCTGGAGGAAAGGGAGAAATGGGGTGTTGCTGTTCAGCAGGTATAAAGTTATAGTTTTGCAAGAATAAATTCTAGAGATATGCTGTATATCATTGTGCCCATAGGTAACAATAGGTATATTGTTAACAGTTAAAAATATTGTGCACTTAAAAAAAAAAAAGAAGATCATGCTTACATTGTGATTACTGTGATAAGGTAGATGACTAAGAACACCACAAAAAGAAGGGGCTGAAGCTCAGCTCGATTTAAAGAAAAGGAAATTAAAATGCATTTAGGTTTGTCATTTATGCATTAACCCAGTGGTGTCACCTGATATTTCTTCCTCTTCTCTCAAATTTGTAAATACATGTGTCATTAAGAAATAGCCTAGTAAGCATGAGATTGATGTTTTAACATCAAAAATAATGTAGAATTTCTTACATACGAAGGCAGTTATATTTAAAATGGTTTTCTGTGGTTCTTTTCTGCAAGTCTTTTGATAGTTAAAGAGCCTTATCTTTTATTATTTTGCAAGTCTTTATTATATGTGTTCACTTAGACTTCTCTTGAACCCATGGTTGTAAACATTGCTTTTATTTGAAATTGTAATTCTTTGTTTAACAACACAACTTTGAGTGTGGCATGTAATGTATCAGCCCTTGAAACTCATCTATTTTTATCACAACTGAATGTGCTTAGGAAAGTGGAACTGCTCCATGGTACGTATCTGTATAGAACTAGGATCTCTTTGCCTACCTATCTGACTCTGGAGCCCAGGCTGTTGCGTCCCAGTCTGTTGTTGAATCCTCCATAGTCTGGTGAATGTAGATGTATTTTCCCTTTTCCCCGTTCCATTGCAATCTACTTATTATATCAATCTGCTTATTATATCATTTGCTTATTATTATATCATTTGCTTACTATATCTGCATGGCCACTTACATGGGATAAACGTTGTTTACCCTTAAACGTATCATGTCCGTGTCTTTTCTCTCCCCTCGCACTTTCCCCACACAGAACATTTTTGGCGGCACGAACAGGATCCAAAAGCAAAAGCAAAACATGCCATTTTTCGGCCACAAGGACCAGGCTGGAAGCTCGGGGACTTCCCATATCCCGGGATGGGAATGCCCCCAGTTTTCCTCTTTGGCGATTGAATGGTCCAGAGTAACTGGCCTTTGTGAGAATTGGGAATCTAAATTAGTGCATTTTAAACCATTGGCTGTGTGTGAACTTTCAAAGTTCTTTAATGAGTACAATTTATCACCTTAAGTGACGAAACATAATGTTTTCACCAAACACTAAAACATAATTTCTTCCAACATGTTTCATCAAGGTTTGAGAATAGCTTGGCTTTATGACTTAAGTGTTACAAAATGTAAAAAATAACATTGCATTAGAGCTTTCACACATTTCAATAAACCAGGTAGAACGGTGTTTTTCAGAATCACAAAGTAAAGAGTATATGCAGGATTTTATAACTGTAGCAGGAATTTTGTTCACCCTGAAAAGTGTTTCTGTTTGTTCTTCACATGCTAATGGAAACTGGTATGTAAATAATTTGAATGTTTCTCTCTCTTTTCCAAAAAAGACTTATAGTGAACAAAACTTTAATTGTTGCAAAAGCTTGTGTCTATATGTCAGGACCCAATTACATGTTACATGAACTTGTGATCTATGGCTTTCTTTTACAAAGCAGCTTTGGACTTAAAATGGTCAATGATTGAAATAACTCTTTTGGTTTGTCTTTCTCTTTAGGTAAATATCCAGTCATTAAAATTTTAATCCCTTTTTCCGTTCTGTAACTTGCGAGGCCTCTATTGGTAAGGAAGGGAGGCCTAGAAATGCATCCAGTTGCTGCTCTCCGGTCTTTCTTGACCTCTAATCTGCCTGGTGACAGTTTTGCTTTGCTGTCATCCACCATGATAAATGTACCTCAGAGTCATTTCACTCTCTTGGCTGAATATAGCCATAGCCTTCTTATCTTCCCTGATGACCCAGTTGCACCTTGGTTTTAAAGACTTACAGACCTCCCTTAGGTCTGCCCCTTATATCCATTCGGAAATGGCCTGGGAAGTCAGCTGTGTAGGACTCAGCTTCACTGGTGCAATACGTCCAGGTCATCAAATCTTAGCTATTTGCATGTTCACCTACTAGGGACATGCTGGAAGTTTGGAAGTTTAAGTACTGTCTATGCCACATGGAAACTGAAGAAACTGTGGAAATAGCTGTGATCATAGCTGCCCAAATAAGCTAATCCCAAAGTTGACTTTGCTTTAGCTACTCAACAAGTTGATTCAGGGCCAAAGCCTGGGCAAGGGAGATTGGGATAGCTTGTCTCAGAGAAAGCTTCTAAGTTTTTTTGTTGTTGTTGTTCCTCTCCATTCATTAGTGTGTCCAGGCCGAAGAACCAGGACTTGGGTTTGGATTTTCTCTCTGTCATAATCTACATTTTTTAACGTCAAAAATTAACGGTACTAGAGCGCAGGAGAGGAAGATTGTTTTAGCCCTAATGAAAGATATAATACTATTATATTATTTTATTTTTATTTATAATAGTATTATTATGAATCTGACCCAGAAGTAGTAGGACTTTGATTTCAAATGTTAATCTACTTCAGACCCAAAGATTAAACATTATATGAATTAACATATCTCTGCAATCATAAATTATACATATCTTTGTATAAGTAGCCCATGGCAGTAAGTGTACTTGAACTAATTTTGTTTAAACTAATTACCACTGTTCAGTTATTTACTCAATAACCCTTCACCAAATATTAACTGTACACCCAAAGTGTTGTGCAGATTTCCATAGGAATTATCAAGATGAAATTGATGTTAGCTTTATCCTCAGAGCATTTACAATTCATAGGAGTAATAGAATAGTTATAAAAGAAAGCATATATTGCAAGAGTGGCAGAAAAAACCAACAAAGGTTTTCAGAAAAGCAAAAGACTATTTTAGCTGAGGATATAATGTGCAGAGTCACGGCAAAAGTCTTTTGATTACCAAGAATGGAACACCTTTCTATCTGCTCTAGAATTAATCCCAACATCAAAATCTGTACCAAGTGTTTTTGCATTTACTGAAAGATACTATGTACATCTAAATTAGGATTCTATCCATTATGATGTGACTTTTGTAAACGCCTCCAGAGGGAGCCCTAATGATATCCTGTGGGTTTCTTATCTAATGCTTCAGGAATGAGTCTACCGAGATTAGTCATTCAGTATAAATCCTCCCACACTGGGGACTTTTGAGTAGGATAAGAAATTACTATTCCTTCACAAGTAAGTCTGACAGTTCTGAGAATCAAGAACTCATAAGAAATTTGTGTGATTTCCTATTTCCTCTTTTGAACATAAAATGAAATTAGTAGTGGCCATAAGAATTGTCATGGTAAAACAAAACCATAGACAGACAGGCCTCAGACTCTCTGATGAAGACAACAGGTAACTAGTGATATACGAGGAGGTCAGGCAGGCTCTGCAAATAGCCCTCTCATTAGTTACAGATCCATTATTCATGACACAGCTGAGACTTAGAGTAGGCTTACAAGTTGAGTTTTAGTCAAATCTTGGAATTCAAAAACATACATTTTTCCACTAACTTGTTTACCTTCTCCAGAACTAGAGCCTTAGAATTTGGCACAAGAAAATATACTCTTCTATGTCTTTAATTACTTAATACAATTATTACTAAGAGGAGAGTGTCAAGAGAATTGGATAAAAATGAGGGTAAGGTTAACGGTGAGAAGGAAAAAAAAAAGTGAACACATTTCCATCGTCATTTCTAGGAGCTTTTCTTAGGTTTCTTCAATTCGGTTTTGCATTGGAATATGATGGCAATGCTGTGTCTGAGCTCACGCTTGTAATCCCAGCATTTGGTGAGACCGAGGTGGGTGGATCACCTGAGGTCAGGAGTTCGAGACCAGCCGGGCCAACATAGCGAAACCTTATCTCTACCAAAAGTAACAAAAAAAATTAGCTGGGCGTGGTGGTGGGCACCTTTAATCCCAGCTATTCGGGGGCTGAGGCAGGAGAATCACTTGAACCAGGGAGGCAGGGGTTGCAGTGACCCGAGATGGTGCCGCTGCATTCCAGCCTGGGCAACAAGAGAGAAACTTCATCTCAAAAAAAATAAATACATAAAAGAAAAAGAAAAATAGGTTTGCATTATTTTGTTCCAAGAGAATACATTTTTCTGTCCTTTGCCAACACTGCTATGGATTTATGGAGCTTTCACCTGATGTGTCCCACTTGGCAGAATTTTTCAGAAAATACTCTGCATGGCTTGAAGTTGTGTTTTTTCCTCCTGCATTGTACACAGAGCTTTAACTCTTCCCTGCCCTAAGCATAGTTTGGTTTCTTTCCAATAGTTCCATTATTTAAAATAGAATAATTTCATATATTTAATGATTATTCTCTTTATTCTTCCCATTTTCTTACTCATCTCTCTCCTGACGTGACAGAACACCACTGAATGAAAAGTGAAAGCTGTTGGAATTTTCAACAATATGAGATATGTCCATCTGGTGTTGGCCCATGTTACTGTGGGTTATGGTATGTGATGTGTGAATGAAAATATCTTAGACGTCATTCACCACAAACCATCTGCAATGGCATTTTTAAAAGTGTGAACATTTTACTGGGAATTATAACATAGCCCTTTTTTCCCATTCCCCACATTAGCTCATAACTTGAAACATAACTATGTCAAGGTCTACTTTCACAACTGGTGATATATAGGAAACACTCTTTTCATATGTATCCCATAAATCAAACCCTGGGCTGTATGTAATCAACAATTGGATGGTGTAACCCTCTATAATTTCATCCTTTGCCCTCTGTTTCTTGGGTGTGAGAAGACTTGAGATAGGATCATGAAGCCTCTCAGAAAGATTTTCTTTTCTTAAGCTTTCTAGCACCAACAGAATACTGTAAGGGATAACATCAGATAGTGGGATACTTTATTCCAAACCAATGAAGGAAAGTTTTATATGCATTGATGATGGCAAGTTCTATATTTGGGGGCTGGAAAAAAGACTTTGTGGGACAATATCTCAGAATCTACTGTAAGGGGAAAGTGTAAGCTATCGGGGTAAAATCACGTGAAAAAAAATCTTGTTTAATACAAACAGGCCATTTCAGTTGTCTTGTTCAGAGCTTTCAATGTTGTCTGTGCATTACAATAGAATGAAAGTTTGTTAAAAAGTATCATATCAGTTAGGTACAGCAAACCACCATGGCACACATTTACCTATGTAACAAACCTGCACATCCTGCACATATATCCCGGAACTTAAAATAATATTTTATATATAGATATATATATGTCATTATTAATTCTATATATTATATATACTAGTTACATATATATTTGTGTGTGTGTGTGTGTGTGTGTGTGTGTGTGTCCCACCTGGGTTGGGCTAGAACCTAGGTATCAGTGTTTTTAAAAACTCCAACTTGATTCTCATGTGAAGCCAGGGCTGATAACCACTGAACTAAATGTTAGATTTGTGAATATGTGATACATAAACTAAATAAAGCAATATCGTTTTTCCTTAAAAGGTATGAACATTCTGTGTCCTCTCATCCTTGCAAAATTTTCTATAGTAATTAAAGACAACTCATTTTTGTAGCCTTGAGTCAACTCCCACCTAATTTCCAACAGTGCAAACTGAAAGTTTTAACTATTAATATGTTAAGTTTTAGCTCAGGCACCATTATCACTAGCTTTGTTACTAAAACAAGCCCCTAATGATCTCTCTACCACTAATTGCACTCCCTTCCATACATTCTTCACATGGTAGCTGGAATTTTTTTGTAGTAACTTGGTCTCTACTGATAACGTCTGAAAGGTAAGAGATCTGCATACCATGAAATGTCAGCTGATGTGAGTTGGCAAAGTGAGCTCATTAATTCATACATTAATGGTTACTGTGAATCTACTATGATTCAAGCATTAGTCCAGGTTCTGGGGATATGGCACAAATGATGTTCCTGTGCTCATATAGCTAACATTTTGGAGGGAACAGACAATGAATATTTAAGTAAATGATTTCAGAAGTGATAAATGATATAAAGAAAAATAAATCATGATTCATGATTAAAAAGGTATTTGAAATAGAATGAAGTGATGAAATGAATCACTCAAAATCTGGGAAGGAATTGGGCAGAGGGAGCTGAAGTAGGAATATTCTTAGCATGATCAAGGAACAGCTAGAAAGGTCAAGGTAGCAGGAGAAGAAGGACAGAAGAGAAAGTGGAAAGAGAAGAATTTGGAGACACGGGTGGGAAGACGTCACGTAGGTCCTTGTGTGTCCTGGCGAGAAGTTCAGATTTTAGCCCATGTGTGATGAAAAATCTTGAACCCTTTTACCAAATTTGTAATAGGTTGTGATTTATGTTTATAAAATATAACTGGCTGGTGTTGGAAAACAGATAATTTCAAGAGTAGAAGAAGGAGCTATTGTAGTAGCTTAAGCAAGAGATAATTTTATCTAAGACCTGACTGGTAGCAAAGAAAATGCTGAAAAGTGGGTTTAAAATTTATTATGTAATTTTTTGAAGATAGACCTGAGAAGACTTTCTGATGGGTCAGATATAAAGTGTTAAGTCAAAGGTGTAGGATAAATTGAAATATAAATATAAACTAAATTGGGATGTTGTGAGATAAAATGAGATTTATGAAATGAAAGGGGATATTAGGTGAAGAAACAATCTAAATTATCCATCAATTGTTGCTTTGGACAAAAAACGTTAGGATGGACAGAACACCAAGGGACCAGGAGAAGTCCATTGTTACTGGGGAGTAAGAAATGAGGAAGAAACTGAACCTAGGCATACATACCATAGACTCAGGAAATATGTGTTCCTCCAATGCACAGAAGGTTTACCTTTACTGGCAACGATGGAGCCAGTCTACAGGGAGTTACTCGTTAGCCGTGTTCCCAGATCAAGCATTTGTGTCATTATCAGACTGTGGTGGTCGCCTTTTTGAGGATAAAGGATCCTGATTCCACAGCCTATTTAGGGACACCAGTAAGCTACATCAAATCCCATATGTGTTAGCAGAGTTGAGGTGGAAGAAGCCAAAACAGCCAGCACAATTTGGTGCATAAACCTCAAAATCTCCTGTATTGTCTGCTTTAACCAGAGCCACAAACTACCTGAAAGCATCTATCGAGACTTTTCCATCTCTAAGGGAAATATTGCTTGCAATTCTCTTTGCAACACTAGTTTGTTTCAGTGCTCATTGATTTTGCCTATTCTTAGATTGCATATAATTTATTTCTCTTTTTGTATCTGGCACATTCTTCTTTTCTTATTAGAGACTATGAAGATGAAGATAGATCCCAAATGCAATGGCACGGAGGTAACTGAATTTATTCTGTTGGGACTGACTAGCCAGCCAGAGCTGCAGCCTATGCTCTTTGTGGTATTCCTCCTGATTTACCTCATCACCCTGACTGGGAAATTTGGGATGATTTTCCTAATCAGATTCACTCCTCAGCTCCAAACCCACATGTATTTTTTCCTTACTCATTTAGCATGTGTGGATATTTTTTACTCCACTAATGTCTCTCCACAGAGCTTGTTAATTTCTTATCTGAGAAGAAGACCATTTCCTACGCTGGGTGTCTGGCCCAGTGTTTTGTCTTTGTGACTCTGCTCCTTACTGAGTATTACATGCTTGGTGCCATGGCCTATGACTGCTACATGGCAATCTGCAATCCCCTACATTACAGCAGCAAAATGTCCAGAGCAGTTTGCATCTGCCTGGTGACTTTCCCCTACTTCTGGGGTTCTATGGTGGGCACGATGCAAGTAATACTGACCTCTCGTTTGTCCTTTTTTGGACCCAACACCATCAACCATTTCTACTGTACTGACCCACCCCTCTTAATGTTGACATCTTCTGACACTTACATAAAACAAACTGCCTTGTTTGTGTCAGCAGGGATTAACCTCACAGTTTCCCTGCTCATCATTCTCATCTCCTACATTTTCATTTTCATCACCATTATGAGGATCCGTTCCAGTGAAGGGCAGCTCAAAGCCTTCTCCACCTGTGGCTCCCACCTGACAGCTGTCACTATGTTCTATGGGTCCCTATTCTGCATGTACCTGAGACCAACAAATGAGCTGTCTGTTGAGCAAGGGAAAATGGGAGTGGTGTTTTGTATTTTTGTGAGTCCCATGCTGAACCCGTTTATCTACCGCCTGAGAAACAAGGATGTGAAACAGGCCTTGAAAAGAGTGTTTATGAGAAACCTTGGTAAGACGAAGAAAAATTCAGTAACTACAGTTTCCCAATAAGAAATAAATGAGTCTCTAAAAAAATCAAAAAGTGACCTTCATTGGTTCTACCTAAATGCAATTCTCTGGAATAACAGTGATATACTTTTGGATATGCATAGCTTAGGATCAAGTGCAAGTCTAATGGGAATAATGAATGTGAAAGTTGTTTGGAAGTGATGATTGATAGGAATCACCACAGCAGAAGTCAGCTGTTTATGATTAAGCAGGGTCATATGTTTAGTCTTACTCAAGAACTTATTTCTACTTGATTAGTCAGCAGATATATTTTTCCTTTCACTACCTTGGTCACCAATATTGGGCATCTCTGAGCTACTCTTATCAGCAAAGTGAAATTATTTACAACACGTTTTCTGAATAAGAAAATGATTTACATTCATATGATATATTGCAGTTTCCTCTACTGAAAGATGATTATCTTCTCAAAAAAAATCTTGCAATTCCAGATTTTTCTTACTGTAGCTTTGGTCTATGTCTACTTAATTTGAAACTTAATTTGAGATGCAAAGAAGAAAACACATGAAGCTTTCAAATCTAGACTATATCGAAAAACCAAAGAAGCAAGAGCTGCATTTTCAAGGTTTTAGTCTAAAACTCAAGTCTTCTGTCATACTTTATGGCCTTTTTCGTGATTCTCTACTGTATAAGGGGGACCTGGCTGTTAGTTTAATCCCAATATTTACAGTCACTATCATATTTATATTAAGAAGGTTCTGACGTCTGTATTTTATTTTTAAAAATGTTAGAATAAGTCAGTAATCAGTGTGTTTAGTAAAATAAAATGTAATGACCCACACTGCTAGTTGGGCAAATGCTGACCATTATGTCAAAAGCAAATGTGAAATACACTGGCCATACTTATTTATTTTTACTTTTTTTTATGTTTGGGGGCACCTGTGAAGGTTTGTTATATAGGTAAGCTAGTGTCATGGAGGTTGTTATATAGATTATTTCATCACCCAGGTATTAAGCTCAGTACTCAATAGTTATCTTTTCTATTAGAAGAACTCTATGAAATGTGACAGACAGTGTTGTAAACATGTTTTGTTAAAAGGAGCCTATAAATTACATCATATGGAAACACATCTGGTCCATCAACTAATCGAGTGAGTTATTTTAACCTTATTTTTGAGGTCTAAACAGCATAAAGCATCATTGCCTAGGCTTAAGAGTTTGTTAATGAAAAAAACAGTGGGAAAGCAAGGAATGTAATTTTACTGAATAAACGTATTGTGGACTCTAGCCACTATTATAGAGCAAGATTTCTCCTGGTAATTCATGACCCCACCCCTCTCACCAACATACACATACATATACAAATACACACATACCACACACACACAGAGCTAACAAACACATGAGCCATTTCAGGCAAGAACAGTTCTTTCTAAAAACAGACACCTTGCCTGTAATGCAATAATTCTGAAAATGTGTCAAGATGAGTATATAGTGTAAAGAGCCTGTGAACAGGAAAAAATCAATCCATAATATGAGAAAATAAATGAAAGGGTTGGCATCAGAGAGACTGTTCTAATTCTAGGTCTATGTCAGTTTGATTAACTTTTTGTCCTTTCATGGAAAAAAGATGAATATTCTATTACTATATGGTGAAATCACATTTGTTTTATGTAAAATTAAAGATACAAAATACTAAAATTTTTTTGTTTATCAAAGTTTTTACTTTCTAAGAACACAGGACAACTTGCTTTAAAAGGACTACACATTATCTGACAGATTACCCAACCAGATATAATAGAACTTTCAATTCTAACACTGACTTTTTAAAATTGAGGTTATCGAAAATGATTTTGTCTTCCATAGTCCTGTGCCTTCTATTGGAATTATGTTCTCAATTTAAAAACTCTTATTGATGGGCTACTATGAAGGCATGGAGATGTATATAAGTACATTTCATTTCTCACAGAGCTCTCAGACTATGTTAGGAAACGTTACATTGTATTATTATTACTATTATTAGCTTTTGTTTCTGAGACTAAGAGCTGATTAGAGTTGTAATATCTACAGAATCACAGGAATATACACGTGTAGTTGTCTACTTTGGGAATGACAATGAAAATAATGTTTGTGCTGTGTCTTGAAATATGAAGGTCTTTCAGGAAGAAGAATGGGGAGATGGGCAAAAGCATTGATTGAGCAATACAATTGTGTATTTTTAATGTGCAATGTCTGAAAGCAGAATAAAGACAGATCAAATTATAATATTGAGGTACAATTTCTCATCAAAAATAATATGCTGTAACTGAAAGCAAAATTATTGCTTAGGTACTTTTAAGTGGCCACTTTTCCATTTAGATGACAATGAGTCTTTGAATGAAATCATCTACTATGATCATACAAACTATATTTTATCCAATCCCCTCCATTTGGAAGCATTTATTGTTCACATGTCCATGATCACAATCTGCAAAGAAAACATAGTCCTACTTAGAAGATATCTCAGTTAAAACTACCAGTCAAATCGCTGAAAACTTTGAACTTACCCAAATAAAATTGCATCTAGTAGCAAAATAGACATGTATGGTTATTTGCTAAGGCATTAGAGAAAGAATGTGCATCTTACCCTAGTTCTTGAAGGTTTAATCATTTCCACATGTAAAGATCAAACAACCTGACACTTTACATACAAGAATTATGCAGAATACCTCTTTCCCAACCCCAGAAACTTCTGCTTCATAATAACTCTTAGCATTCTTAATCGTTGTTTTATTCTTATACTTATCCTGGAGTTTATTCTCATTATTCTTGCTACATATTCTTTCTTTAGGTTAAGAACACTGGACTTCAGCCCCTCTCTCATTATTTAGTTCTGGTATTTCTCTCTGGTTCACTAGGGGAACGGCATAGTTTCCAAGCCCTGTTTCGGTGTCTGGACATTTTCTGGCTCAGCTTATTCCTCATAACTTCTTTAGCAGTTCAACCATCATCCAATCAAAGAGCCATCACACATGGAAGAAGGTAGAATTGCTCCTTTTGCCACTCAGTCTTTTTCTGTCTCAGCAATCTTTATACTGGGTTTTATAGCTATGAACATGGTGTTGAACTGTGATAGTTGGTTATTTTTGAGATTGGGTTATGTAGAATAAGTGGGAATTACATAGAGTGGCCATATTCTCCAGGAAGCTTGGAACAGTTAGTCCAACTCCACTATCGGGGAAAAGCCTCATGGCAGAATGAAATGGAAGTAGATTTGGTCATTTGTAAGTTTCCTTAGAGCCCTGACATCCTATGGCTTGATGATTCTAAGTAGAGATATAAGAGACTGTTTTAAACATTTTACTTAAAGAAGCTTTGACTTCCTTGTTTCTCAAACTATAGATGAAAGGATTCAACATGGGGATGACTACTGTGTAAGACAGACACCACTTTGTCTTGATCCATTGAGTAGCTGGAGCTGGGACGCAGAGATACATGAACAGGATTGTCCCAAAGAAGATAGTGACCACCGCCAAGTGGGAAGCACAGGTGGAGAAGGCCTTGTGCCTCCCTTCTGCAGAGTGGATCTTCAAGATGGCAGCAAGGATGTAGAGACAGGAAACAAGAATCAGTAGGAGACAGCTCAATTCATTAAAACTGGCAAAGGCAAAAATGACAACCTCATTGATGTGTGTATCAGAACAAGAGTTTCAGGAGGGGTGGAATATCACAAAAAAAATAGTTAATGATATTGGAGTGGCAGAATGACAGCTGGAAGGTGAAGCCAGTGTGAATGGCAGCATTTACAAAGCCCAAAAGATATGTGGCTAACACCAGGAGGGCACTGAGGTGGGGTGACATCAGGACTGTATAAAGCAGAGGCTTGCAGATGGCCACATAACAGTCATAGGCCATGACAGCCAACAGAAAACCCTCAATGCCAGCAAAGGAGCCAAAAAAGAAGAATTGAGTGGCACATTCATTAAATGAAATGACTGGGTTCTCCACCCAGAAATTTATCAGCATATTAGGGGCAATGACAGAAGAATAACAGAAGTCAACAAGGCACAAGTTACTGAGGAAAAAGTACATTGGAGTATGGAGATGTGAGTCAATCTTGATTAATAGAATCATGCCAAGATTTCCAACAACGGTGAACATATAGATGAGAAGAAACAACACAAAAAGAAGACACTGTAATTCTGGGTGATCCGTGAATCCCAGGATAATAAATCCAGACAGTGGTGTAAAGTTTCTCATATCTTAGTCTCAGAATAGAAGACTCATTTGCTGGGATGAGAAACAAACCATGATAGATATGTTAATATGCCAATCTGCCTCACTATAGTAACAACTGTATTAGCTATATGTATCTATGTGTAAGTATACATCTATATGAGCCCCACAGCATAACGTGCTAATCCTCAAATATACACAATAAAATTTACTTAAGAGAGGAACAAATGAAATAAATTATACCCCAAAAACCTAGGATATTAAATAGTTCATTCTTGACTGTAAATAAGATTACTTCTAAGATGTTCTGTGTTCATAACTACTCTTTATTTTATATGGAGGTAAAGAACAAAAGATCCCTTAAGTAAACTCAATTACCTATTTTATTTAAAATAGTGTGTGTGTGTGTGTGTGTGAGAGAGAGAGAGAGAGAGAGAGAGAGGCTTTGATGATATCCTACTCTATTCTCCAACTTTTCTCTCTTCCTATTCCGATCCTACTGCTTTCATCACCTGTCCTCCCATTCCTCTGCCATTCCCTTAGCAATTAAACATACGGACACAGTTATATATATGCTGTACTGAATTCTGCATTTCTTGTTTTCTGCATTTCTGCATTTCTTGTTAGCCCATTCAAATCAGGCCTTTCTCTCCATCACTCCCTGGAAATTGCTTTTGTTCAACACATCATTGGTCTTGATTGCTAAATCCAATGGTGAATTCTCAGGCCTCATTTTTCTAGATTTATCAATAACATTAAACATAATTAATTACTTACAACTCTAAAAGTCTTCTTTCTCTACTCTTCCAGAACATCAAGCCCTCTGTTTTTTCTTCCTACTACATGGCTTGCTCCTTCTGTCTCCGTTCCTTGTTCCTCCTCTTCTCCCTCTTTGTGTTGGAGTGTCTCAGAGCTTCCTCCTTTTCTGTTTCCACTCTACCCAGGTGCTCTTATTGTCTGATGGTTTTAAATATTGTCTATGTACTTGTACCTTCTGAGCCATATCTCTAGTCTTATCCTCTTTTCCAAACTCCAGGCTTATAATTTAACTGCTAACATCTCCATATGGCTATCAAATGGCAACTTAACATGACCAAAACTGAATTCCTCATATCCTCCTCTAATTTGCTCCAAACATAGCACTCCCCGTCTCAAGTCAATGACAGCTCCATGCTTTCATTTGCACAGGTGAAATTAAATAAATAGACAAAAATGATGGATACATGATATTTTCTCCTTGTCACATGCTGGATAGCCAATCAGATTATTCAATTGGGTTTTCCTTTAAAAGATCTGTATCCTAAGCCAGCTACCTCTGCCACGTTCATTGTCACTAAATACCAAGCCATCTTTTACTTACATTATTGCGATAGTCTTTTTTTTTTTTTTTTTTTTTTTTGAGATGGAGTCTTGCTCTGTCGCCCAGGCTGGAGTGCAGTGGCGTGATCTCGGCTCACTGCAAGCTCTGCCTCCCGGGTTCCCGCCATTCTCCTGCCTCTGTCTCCCAAGCAGCTGGGACTACAGGCGCCCGCCACCACGCCCGGCTAATTTTTTGTATTTTTAGTAGACACAGGGTTTCACTGTGTTAGCCAGGATGGTCTCGATCTCCTGACCTGGTGATCCGCCCACCTCGGCCTCCCAAAGTGCTGGGATTACAGGCTTGAGCCACCGCGCCCGGCCTGCGATAGTCTTTTAAACTGATTCTCCTATCTCTAAAACAGCTAAAATTCTACTCTATAACCTCTTTAAAATATTGCAGCCATTCTTTAAGTCTCTTATTTTTGCGTAAATATATATGTACACACATATGATCAATCACATTATATATGTAATAAATGTATAAGGTGACGTAAAAGCTATCATCTTTTCTCTGATATATATGATCCTCTGAGTGTATGGGTATGTTATGTTATATATGTTTTATACATATATATATACACACACAAACACACATATATATGAGGGAAGCAATTTGTTTAGTTTTGTAACTGTTTTCCCACCATGTGTACATAATTTAGATTCATATTTAGAAAAATATATATGGAGTGGCTTACATTCCATTTATTACAAAAGAGCATGGGATACATCATCCCTCATGGACATATGGAATTGCAACAAACTTAATCAAGATAGAATTATCCTTGTATTAAACATAAATTTGAACTAAGGAATATTAACTTGTTTGATGTCATAGAGCAAGTGCAACTGAAATTCAAGAAAAAGGCTGAAAATTGTTATCAGTTTATCAATTTATGCATTTAATGGCATAAAAGTATTCAATTTAAGGTTCTTCATAGGGAATTAAATATCTCTTTGGGTTTTGCTCTCTTTATATGCAAAATTAATTAAATGTTCATATTTTTACACCACACACATTTGTGTATATATACATGTATACATACATTCCTGTATGTATGTGTATATATATGTTGAATATTCTATGAAATTGTTTCTAGTGATTCTAAATCTCCCTCTTTTAAAACAATTTATGTTCACAGTTTAGATGACAATATTAAACTTAGTATTTCAGACATATTTAATTTAAGATGTTTAATCTTAATTTCTTAAATGTTTTTTTAAGTCCTCTTGAAACTTTCTACATTGGAACAAGTTATGATAAATTACATGATCTTACCTTCTGTCCTTAAGTAATATTCACTGAAAGTAGTGGTTCTTATTAATTTACCTTTGTTTTGTAGGAATACAGGTTTTCTGTTTCCAACAGTCAGATTTATGGCTTTGAAAAACTGTGCAGGTGACATAAAGGAATCAACTATGGCAGAATTCAGCAGTGCATTGTATCCTTTAATTCAACAAAGGATAAAATGCCCTGCTTTTGAATCCAAGACCCAAGATCACGTCTTATTAAGACTGATCATTCTCTGGAGATTTAGTCTCTGTTAAACACTAAAAAGTCTAAAGTCTGAAATATGCCAATCCATAATTAAAAAGTGAATTCATTTTTCACTGAGATAATTGAACTACATTTTCCCCAGTGCATCATTTATACCTCAGAGAGTATCTTAGGAATTTAGAGAAGAACAAAAAGTATCTCATGATCCAGAGGCGCCATTGAGCACAGCATTGAATTAAACCTACAGGATTGATCAGATCCTGCCTCCAACCCTCAGAATTCCACTTAAAATACAATCCTTATTCTTTTCTACTAGAATATGGCTTTCATTTCATTAACATTTTTATTCACTCAACAAATATTAATAAGTTTGTTTCATGAAGCAGACACCACCCTTGGTACTGGTAAAATAGTCAAGAAAATTAATCTTGCCCATTCCCTCTTGCATCTTACCATCTGGCATTGGTGGGAGACAACTATTACAAAGTAATTTGAAAAAAATAAAGCACAAAACCTCTTTATGAGCTACTAGGCCTTATGTGATCTGCCTCCCTTTCTCAGAATTTTCCTGATTGCTGTTCTTTACCTCCTTTAGTTTTCTCTCTCTGGTCCACATATATTTGTCTCCTTGCAATTCTTTTAACAAACCAAAGAGGATCTTGCCTAGGAGCCCTTGTGTTTAATGCGTGTGTACACAGAAAGCTCTTCCACAAACAGTCAAATGGTATCATCCCTATCCAGGCATTGCTCAGATGTTTTTCAACAGAGAGCTCTTTCACTCCGCCACTCCCTATTTTATTGCCCACTTCAAAACGCCATTTATGTTTATGTGAAATGCACACACACATTCACACATGCACAATACATTTGACAGAGACAATACAATCTCCCTCACTTAAATATAAGTTTATTGAGATAAGAAACTTTGTTTTCTTACCTGTTATATCTCCAGTATAAGTTACATGCAAATTACTCAACAAATAATTAATGGATTATGAGTAAAGGCACAAAAGTTGCCAATTTTCTTGCTCCAGCACAAACTAAAGAAGTATAATAGTAGGTTGGTACAAAAATATTATGGTTTTTGCTATTTTTTTAAGTGTTGCAAAAAACTGCAATTACTTTTGCACCAACGTAATAGAAAATACAATCTGTGACTTAATATTAAGATAATTTTAACTCCAAAGACATAAGTATGATTTGCAGGTATAGTCTCTTCTAGTAGTACAAAAGGTGGGATTATTTTACATATGTCTGAGTATCATAACTAAGAAGAGAAAATTAATTTCTTAATCCTTTAGTGTATCCAAAGTCCCTACATGCTAGGTTGTTAATTAAATACATGAATCTGGAACTTGGGTGAGAGGTCAAGGCTAGAGATACAGGTTTTGGAATCATGGCACAGTTCTTAGGTCACCCAAGAATTAAGTGCAGGTGGAGAACCAAATGTCAAAACTATGACTTTTGCTCCAAGATGTAAAGGTCAGCATGAGATGGAGGAAAAACGATAAATGCTAACTGGGAACAAGTAGGAATGAAAGAAGGAAAAATGTAAGAGTGAGGTGATATAGAAACCTATATAGGGTTATATCAAGGCAGGTGGAGGAATTAATTGTGACAAATCCTGAGCTATCAAGTAAAAGTGAAACAGAGAAGTGATCTTTGGATAAAGTAGTGTTGAGGTGTCATGTGTCCTCGACAAGATTAGGCTTAATGTACAGATGTTACAGAAATATGCCTGGAATATGTTATAGTGTAAATAAGATATGAGGAAGTCTGGCAATGAGTAGAGGTAGCTCTTTTGGAAAGATTAATTATAGAGGGGAGTAGGGATGAATTAATAAGTTGGTGACTGGATGGGACTTACTCTCAAGGACACTGTGAAGAAGGGTGACACTGCCAACATGGCACAGGTATACATATGTAACAAACCTGCACTTTGTGCACACGTACCCTAGAACTTAAAGTATAATTTAAAAAAAGAAGGGTGACACTAGAAAATATTTGTATACAAATGAGGATATTATAATAAGAGTTTGAGATACTAATGCTTGGGGAGAGTAGAGATATAATTTCAGAAGTAAAGGCCGTGGAAAACTCAAACACATGAAAGAGCTGGTCTTAGGTAGAAGCAGAGATACATTATCCATAATGACATGAAGGGAGAAGGAGGGTATTTATAAAGATGTAGAGGTGGTGAGGATGATCATATCTTCTTTTTTTTTTTTCAGGATGAAGTATGAGGAAAGTTCAGTAACACAGAGTAAAGTGATGATTAATTCTCTCTAACTGTATTAAGCAGTTTAAATGGGGGACATATAGAAGAAACAATTAAATCTAACTAAGTGGGTATTTAGACAGACGAGCAGAATGGAGGGAGGGTGGAACCATGGAGTTGAGCGTAACTAATAGTGTGTCATTATGTGATAAACCACGAAATCTCAGCTGGGTAATGAGTGAAATGCGGACATAAGACAGTGGTGAATAATGATAAAGTACAACTATCCTTAGAGTGGTGATTTAAGACAAAAGTTAAGGGATAAATATGATAGCAGATAAACCAGAATAAAAGTAAATATGAAGGAGAATGAAAGTTCTGATACAGTTTTGGATGTGTTTCAGAGAAACCTCAGTTAACAATTGAAAGTGGAAGTTATTGGAATATGACATGAAAGGGCTCTTGCAGGTGGTTAGGAGGAAACAGTTCTTCTTTTGTGGTCTCTAATGAATATTTTATTTATTTATTTATTTATTTATTTATTTATTTGAGACGGAGTCTCGCTCTGTTACCCAGACTGGAGTGCAGTGGCGTGATCTCGGCTCACTGCAACCTCTGCCTCCTGGATTCAAGCTATTATCCTGCCTCAGCCCCCCGAGTAGCTGGGACTACAGGCACCTGCCACCATGCGCAGGTAATTTTTGTACTTTTAGTAGAGACGGGGTTTCACCATATTGGCCAGGCTGGTCTCGAACTCCTGACCTTGTGATCCGCCCACCTCAGCCTCCCAAAGTGCTGGGATTACAGGCGTGAGCCACCACACCCAGCCTCCAATGAATTTTTTAAGAATG
This sequence comes from Homo sapiens, assembly GCF_000001405.40. NCBI lineage: Eukaryota > Metazoa > Chordata > Mammalia > Primates > Hominidae > Homo > Homo sapiens. The sequence continues at coordinate 56,640,002 of NC_000011.10, forward strand.
AGGTGGTCTCAGTTGGAACACTGAAAACACTGGTGTCTCCCTCCTGGTCTACAGTGGATGGCGGAATAGAAAGAAATTAGAACTAGACATTTACCTAACTCCAAATCATTACACAGACTTCCTTCAACATGTCATCTCATCACAGAAGGCTGTTGTCTCATTGCTCCAACATTGAGAGTTTCCTCCTCACTATGATAAGCAATACAGATACAATTTTCTTTGATAAGTATTTATTGAAAATTATGTGAACCTTTAGGAAGAGCAGAGATAAAACGTTGAAGTACATTGATTACTACCAACAAAATATTCAGTTTAATTCAAAAGTCAGTAAAATATTCCCCCATTATTCTTGTGGTTCCCACAATATCATAATACCTGATAAGACTTATTCATCTATCTGATTTGGTACCTCTTGACATACTTGTAGGTAGAGTAGTGTTATTATTTATTATGAATGCTGTGGCACACTACCCAGATTTTTTTTTTTTTTTTTTTTTTTGAGACGGAGTCTCGCTCTGTCGCCCAGGCTGGAGTGCAGTGGCGGGATCTCGGCTCACTGCAAGCTCCGCCTCCCGGGTTCACGCCATTCTCCTGCCTCAGCCTCCCAAGTAGCTGGGACTACAGGCGCCCGCCACTACGCCCGGCTAATTTTTTGTATTTTTAGTAGAGACGGGGTTTCACCGTTTTAGCCGGGATGGTCTCGATCTCCTGACCTCGTGATCCGCCCGCCTCGGCCTCCCAAAGTGCTGGGATTACAGGCGTGAGCCACCGCGCCCGGCCCACACTACCCAGATTTGCCTCTCAGGTTGAAGTATTCATTTCCCCAGCTTCCAGGCATATAGGCCACTGACAGCTGATAGCTGACCTACACTCCAGGAATTTCCCCTGCTGAAGGGAATTGCCTTGTCCAAGATAATATTACCCCCTCTCAGTGGGTGATCATGTCCAAAAATTGGCTATTGTGGAGGTACAAATACTTGTTCCTTTTTTCTTAATTTGGGACATCTCTGAAGGACATCTCTGCAGAACGCCATGTAACAGTGGCTCAGTCTTCGTCACAATTCAACTCCTTCTGTCCAATCCTGCTCCCCTCACTATATATTGTTTGTGAGAACACTCTGATAAACTTTCTGCCTAAAAATATCTCTCTGTCTCAGTTTGTTTGCCCAGAACCCAAAGACACCAATGTTTGTATAATAAAACTCAGACTGAGATAAGCTTAATATTTAAATTAAAACTTAAGTCCAGATTAGCCAATTCCAAGTGTTTTGATACTTTTTCCAGTCCCAACCTTCATCTAGTGTATTGGTGCATCAAAGGGACCCGTGTGTGTGTGTGTATATATATATGAGATACTAGGATATTAAAAAGTATACTTCATTTTAAATTATCTACTTTAACACAGAGAAACAGCTTAAACAATCAGAGAATACAGTTAACATGAAAATGTATTTTCTTCTACGTAACAAATGATGGGTAACATGGCTCTACAAGATGTGTTTCCATAAGATCTTCTTTAGGGCCTTTTTTACATCCTTATTTTTTAAACTATAGATGAGGGGATTTAGCACAGGGATTATTACTGTATAAAAGACAGAGACAACCTTGTCTTGCTCCATTGAGTAGCTAGATGTAGGGCGCAAGTACATGAAGAGGATTGTTCCAAAGAATATGGTGACAGCCATGAGGTAAGAGGCACAGGTGGAGAAGGCTTTGTGCCTGCCCTCTAACGAAGGCATCTTCAAGACGGCAATGAAGATACACAGGTAGGAAATGAGGACAATCATAACACAGCTGATGACAATAAAACTTGAGAATGCCATGATCACAATGCCATTGAAGTGGGTATCAGAGCAAGAGAGTTTGAGCAGTGGCGGGGTGTCACAGTAGAAATGGTTGATCCTATTAGAACCACAAAAGGACAACCTAAAAGTCATCCCTGTATGTATGGCTGCATTTCCACAACCTGCTAAGAAGGAGGTAGCTATTAGCAAAAAGCAAATTCTCCCAGACACGAGAACTGGGTAGAGCAGGGGGTTCCAAATGGCTGCATAGCGGTCATATGCCATCATGGCCAACAGGAAGCACTCAGTCCCCAGGAAGGAGCCAAAGAAGTAGAACTGGGCAGCACATCCATGAAAAGAAATGGCCTTATTCTCAGCCATGAGGTTCACCAGCATCTTGGGAGTGACGGAAGAAGAGTAAGAGGCATCTACAAAAGAGAGGCTACTGAGAAAGAAATACATGGGGGTGTGGAGACAGAGATCAATCTTAATCAATACAATCATCCCCAAATTGCCCACCATGTTTGCCATATAGATCAACAGAAACAATGCAAAGAGGACTCCTTGTAGATCTGGATTGTCGGAAAGTCCTAAGAGGAGAAATTCTGTTACTTCTGTTTGATTTCTGCCTCGAACCTCTTTCATAAGTCTCATCATTTGAGCTGCAATAAGAAAGAAGATGCACAGTGGAATTTAGTCAGATGAATACATGATGGAGCTATAATATATTTTTAGTGAAACAACTTCTAACAGAAGAGCAAAAAGTGAAAAGCATAATAAAAGGTATGTTGGATTTGATGCCAAATCAAAAGACTTGTAGTACTAGATGTGCTGTCTACTAATGACTGAAGCAAGTGATTTAGTGTGTATTAACTATGGTCATTCCTACAGTTAACTCTTTATTGAATAATTAAAATAACTTATTCTTAAGATGTGACTGTCATAATTACTTGTGATAAATAAATTAATTTATATATACTGACATACCCTCCAGACACAACTTCTGGAGAAGGATGATAGAATGAATTCAGGACACTTACAATTCCTCCTCAGTACTAATAGAATGAATAAAAATATTGAAAGTTAATAAAATTAATCTATAGTGCCAGACAAGAAAAATAGTTGGGCTGGGCCTGGTGGCTTACAACTGTAATCCCAGTACTTTGAGAGACCAAGGCAAGGCAGATCACTTGAGCTCAAGAGTTAAAGACCAGCCTGGGCAATGTGGCAAAATCTCCTCTCTGCAATATTTAAAAAAAAAAAAAAAAAAAGCTATGTGTGGTGGCTCATCCCTGTGGTCTCAGCTACTCAGGAGGCTGAGGTGGGAGGATTGCTTGACCCCAGGAGTTTGAGGCTGCACTGAGCTGGGTTTGCACCACTGCACCACTCCAGCCTGTGCAGTAGAGTGAGACGGTGCCAAAAAAAAAAAAAAAAGAGAAAGAAAGAAAGAAGGAAACAAAGAAAGAAAGAAAGAAGGAAGGAAGGAGAGAGAGAAGGAAGGAAGGAAGGAAGGAAGGAAGGAAGGAAGGAAGGAAGGAAGGAAGGAAAAAAGAAAGAAAGGAAAGAAAGAAAGAGAGAAGGAAAGAAAGAGAAAAGAAAGAAAGAAAGAAAAACAGCAGAATCTCTTGGGGTAGAGGAAGAGCTTAAAAATGCCTGGCCAAAGAAGAAAATAGAGAATATTCCCACACAGCCAGTACAGTTCGAACCCCACTCTGATTTTCCATAATAAACATCTACAGAGAACAGAATAGGGTCAGTTAAATAGTAATTTTCCACAATTCATTCCAATATTTAGAGAATCAGATTGTAAGAATGAGTAGGCATCCCCGATAAAAATGGCAGAAGTAGCCAAGCCAGTGAAAATCTCTAATACTCACATTCACAAGTTCTCAAGAGAACCAGAAAACATCAGAAGTAGCACATGCAATTTTTCAGCCACCATACTTAATCAAGGGAATAATTTAATACCAAGTAATCAAAATGGAAATAAGAGTCACCCTTTGCAAGGTGTAATGAAGACAAACATAGGATAAGAAAAGTAAAAGAAATAAAAAAGAAAATTCAGAATAGATGCCCAAACTAGATCTTCCAAATCAAAATGTAAACACCACCAGCGGAATTCTCCTCCAATTTAACGCAAATCCTCCACCCCTTCCATGATCTCAGATTATTAAACAAAAGTTTAAACTTACTAGGCTAACTGTCAAAATATAGCTCAGAAGGTAAGACAGAGTTATATCCTTTGCTACTCACAGAAAAAAGTTATTTGATACTGTTTAAATTAAAACATGGGGTCGGCCGGGCACGGTGGCTCACACCTGTAATCCCAGCACTTTGGGAGGCCGAGGCGGGCGGATCACGAGGTCAGGAAATCGAAACCATCCTGGCTAACACGGTGAAACCCTGTCTCTACTAAAAATACAAAAAATTAGCCAGGCGTGGTGGCAGGCGCCTGTAGTCCCAGCTACTCAGGAGGCTGAGGCAGGAGAATGGCGTGAATCCAGGAGGCGGAGCTTGCAGTGAGCCGAGATTGCGCCACTGCACTCCAGCCTGGGTGACAGAGCAAGACTCTGTCTCAAAAAAAAAAAAAAGAAAAAACACACACACAAACGGGGTCAAAGTGACCCAGTACCCTTGCCAGCATTGAAGATAAAGAAGTTTCTGAAAACAGTGAGGGAAACAGTGGGCAGCAACTGGTCCTATTATCACAGACAGTGCCATACACAGAAGCAGCTATTTATGCTGGGCTCCACCTAATTGTCATTGAGATAGGGACTCAATGCCCTAATCAATAATTAAAGCTGACATTTTGAAAGAATTCCATAACAATTTTGAAAAGTGTCATTGCACCCATTATCTTATATAAGCCTTACCACAAATCAGTGAAAGAAATTATCAGGTAATATCCCAAGAGTATAAGTAATATAGTCTTTTGTTAGATGAGGCCAGCAAAGTGTGGGGGTTTCTCAGCCAATCAGTGGTGAATCCTGAGCTAGAATGTAGGCCTCTTGATGCTAAATTATGTGACAATGCCTCTGTCTGTATTTCACTGGCATAGGCGCACAGCCTAGGTCCTCTTTCTTGAAGCAATCTTGCTGTCTGAACTTCAAAGAACAGCATCTTTAGAAGAAATGAAAAAAAAAAGGAATAGATCTTTCTTCTCTCCTTCTCAAACAGAAAGTCTCTCTGAGTATTAACAGAAATATTGCACAGAATAAAATGTCTTATATGTGCTAAACATACAACGTAAGTAATGATGAGTAAAACGTTAAGTATTGACATGTGCAAAAATCTGTTGAGGATTTCTTATGCTCTACAAACACTTTATTAACTGTTTTGCCTGCATTATTTTATTTAAATTCTACGTAATAGGCATTTATCATCTCCTTTTTGCAGATGGGAAATGTAAGGTATAAAAGACTAACTTGCCCGAAGCCTCTCCAGGCTCTCAAAGTTAGCCTAATAATGTCTAAATGTAGGTCCAGCCAATGTAACTTTCATTCTCTTAACATTTGAGGTCGTTTAGAAAAGCTCTGTCAATAACAGATGTGAGCACTGATAGACAAAGAGCTTGATATCGTGATTCTCAAAGATTTATTAATACTTTAAAATACATTTAGTTAAATAAACATGTCATGTATCCTAAAGAGAAAATATAATTAGAGTTGATGAAAATTGTCTTTCTTAGGACTCACATATATTAATCAGCAAGATAGCAAAATATTATTTGTTTTCCATCTGATGGTATAAATAACATTCTTCTGTCTCCCCTTCTATTCTGATAAATATTCTTCCTGCTTCTATGCAGTATTTCCCCAGGCTCTGCTGAGATTTTTCAGTCAATTCTTTAGCCCAGAGATTCCTTAGTCAGAGATCTGGGCTCTCAATTTCTAAGAGTTTCTAAAAATAATACTAAAGTTTCATGATATATTTATTTTATTTAAAAAGGCTTTAAAATAATATTATTTATTGCTGCTTATATTTTTCCTAATGGCTATACATTTTGCAATAAAATAACACACACAACATTTATTTAACATTCCTTTTTAGCCACTCAATGCTCTTGGAAGTTTGTGTTGATAAGTGATTGAGGAAATTAACAGGATTGTGAATTTTTCTTAAGGAGAGTAAGTGAAATAGATGGAAACATTTACATATCTCATCTTACCTTTAGTAACTATTTGATTTCTATTTGATCCCTTTGCATGCTCCCGTCCAATGCTTAAATTCACCAGAAAGAAAGCAGAAACAATAAAAGAAATCTTTCTTCTTAGAGGAAGTATTCACACTAATTCACCCAGGGTAAGCAGGAGGTATAACTGGAACAGATGCTAGAGTACACCCGTTAAAGAAGTGGGACAACTAAAACTGTTTACCCCTTCCTTGTGATGTTAACTGCATTCAGCAGAGATTGAGTCTTTTGTTCTTTAACTTTTCCTTAAAGATAATATCACGATTTTTAATATCAGAGTAAAATACACTTCAGTATACAGAGTTTATC